>NC_000012.12:112763158-112914673 GCF_000001405.40 Homo sapiens | reverse complement strand
AAATCAAAACCACAATGTGATACCACCTCACTCCTGCAAGAATGGTCATAATAAAAAATCAAACAATAATAGATGTTGGTGTGGATGTGGTGAAAAGGGAACACTTTTACACCATTGGTGGGAATGTAAACTCATACAACCACTATGGAAAACAGTGTGGAGATTCCTTATAGAACTAAAAGTAGATCTACCATTTGATCCAGCAATCCCACTACTAGGTATCTACCCAGAGGAAAAGAAGTCATTATACAAAAAAGATACTTGCACACACATGTTTATAACAGCACAATTTGCAATTGCAAAAATATGGAACCAGCCCAAATGCCCATCAATCAATGAGTGGATAAAGAAAAATGTTATACACACACAAACACACCATGGAATACTACTCAACCATAAAAAGGAACAAAATAATGGCATTCACAGCAACCTGGATGGAATTGGATACTATTATTTTAATTAAATAACTCAGGAATGGAAAACCAAACATTGTATGTTCTCACTCATATGTGGGAGCTAAGCTATGAGGAAGCAAAGGCATAAGAATGATACATGGGACTTTGCGGACTGCGGGGAAAGGGTGGGGTGTGGCAAGGGTTAAAAGATTACACATTGGGTACAATGTACACTGTTTGGGTGATGGGTGCACCAAAATCACCACTAAAGAACTTATTCATGTAACCAAACACCACCTGTTCCCCCAAAAACCTATTGAAATAGAAAAATTAAAAATAAAAAAAAATAGTCCTCTCTCTGTGATCAGTGGTTTGAATGAGGACAGGAAAGGAGAGGTATCAGAGCCATATATGTATACACATGAATCTGTGTGTGCTCATGTCACAGAAAAGAAGTGTAAATAAAACATAAGATTAACAAATAATAAAAATTAAAAATAAAATAACTAGGAATATCATATTCACAGGATAAAATAAGAACTTTAAATAGTTAGCAGGGAATTAAAAGCCATAAGAAGTACCATGGCAGATACAAAAATATGAAATAGAAATTTTAGGATAAAAATGGCAACTGTAATTAATTACAGCAAATTAGATATAGCTAAAGAGAAAATTAGTTAATTGGAAGGTAGATTAGAAGGAACTATTCAGAATAAAGCATGGAAAAATAGACAAAAGGATGAAAAACACAGAAGAGAGTATAGAGATATGAAAGATAGAGCAGGGTCTAACATACATTTAATTGGAATTCTAGAAGGTGAGGAGAGAATGAAGGAGAATCAATATTTTAGAAGAATGGCTGAGAAGTTTCAAAACTGATTAAAGATATCTACCCACAGATTCAGGAATCTTAACGGAATCCCAATCAGGACAAACAATAGGAACCCATCATTAAGACACAGCAGATTGAAGCTAAACAAAATCAAAGACAAAGAGAAAACTTTTACATGCAGCCAGAAGAATAAGACAGGTTACTTATAAAAGAGCTGCAGTTAGACTGGCAACTGACTTTTTAATGATGACACTGGAAGATGGAATGATATATTCAATATACTGAAATGACCACCCAGCAAAAGCACCCTTCAACAATGAAGGCAAAAGCATGACATTTTCAGACAAACAATAACTGAGAGAGTTTACTACCAATAGACCATCATCAAAAGAAATCCCAAAGGATGCATGATCATTTAGGAAAATTACCCCAGATGGAATGTTAGAGGTGTAAGACAGAATGAATAGTGAAGAAAGTGGTAAATCTGTGAGCAGATTAACTAAACATTTGGCTATAAAACAATAATACTTCGAGGCACTTGAAAATATAAACAGACTTGAAATATACAAGAAATGTAGCATATAAGTTGGAGGTGGTGATGATGGTGGTTAGTGGAGTTAAATTATTGTTAATCTTGTCTTGTTTTAAAGGAGAACAGCATCAAGAAAGAAAGAAAAAGACAATTCTTGGCTGTGCAGGACTCTCTTGATCATTGTACAATAACTAGCATTCTTGTCTTCTTTCCACTAAATATAAGTAGCACCCATGTCCTCCCATCACCATGGTTACCAAAAACACCCTCATTAATTTTCAATATGTCCCTGGGGGCAGTGCTGCTTTTGTCAGGAACTGCTTTTGTAAATTCTACAATGCTCAGGCTCCATGATTACAATTCATAGAACAGCAAACACTTAGAAGTCTGGCAACTAAATGATTGTCTTTTTTTTACCTAGAGGTGTTACTTTTAAATTGGAAAGTTTATTCCTGATTATTTTCATTCATTCGTTCATTCAAGAAATATACATTGAATGCCTATTATTATCAGGCAAACTCTTAAGTCAATAGACCCAAATTCGAGTTTTTGTTTGTTTGTTTGTTTGTTTGTTTGAGAGAAGATCTTGCTCTGTCTCACAGGCTGGAGGGCAGTAGTGCAATCCTGACTTACTGCAACCTCCTCCTCCCAGGCTCAAGCGATCCTCCCACCTCAGCCTACCCAGTAGCTGGGGCTACAGGTGCTCACCATCACACCTGGCTAAATTTTTAGTTTATTTTGTAGAGACGAGGTTTTGCCATGTTGCTCAGGCTAGTCTTGAACTCCTGGGCTCAAGCAATCTACCTGCCTTGGCTTCCCAAAGTGCTGGGATTACTGGTGTGAGCTACCGCGCCCAGCCAAATTCAAATTTTACTTCTGCTACTTATTGGCCGAATGAGCCATGTGACCCAGGAGTTTCTCTTTTTGACCCAAGTTTCTCTTGGTGTAAAATGGATTTAATAATAATGCCTAACCTTATCTAACTTACAGAATCACTGTTAAAATTGACTAAGATGCAGGGCATTTAAAAGTGAACAGAAAATTGTATCACATCCACAAAACATAGATAAGCTAAGCACATACTACATGTTAGCTTTTATTATGTGTACTCCTATGGTGGCTAAAATATGCTACATTTATCAGGACCAACTATATGCCGTGTTACTCTAGCTATGGCATGCTACTCGTTGCAGATAAGAAAGCAGAAAGAACAGAAAGGTTAAGTTGCTTACTTAAGGCCAGCCAGCCAGTAAGTGGGAGGAAAGGGCATCTGAACATATATTTGTTTGAAACTCTTGTTTTAACTTATCCACCTTCTGAAGAGTGTGGTTGACTCTCTCTCTGTGTGTGTGTGCGTGCGTGTGTGTATGTAGCATTGATTCATTTATTCAACAGTTATTTACACCTATTATGCACCAGGCTCTGTTTTAAGTTCTGGGGATACAGCAGTGAACAGAACACCAAAATCCCTTCCTTTCTCTCTTCCTTCCCTTTCATTCTCCCTTCTGTTGCAGGCTCCTCTCTCCACCTCTTTTTCCTTTCTCTCCTTTTTCCATCCCTCTATTTCCCTCCACCACTCCCCCTCCTCTTCCCTTCACTCCCTTCTTTCTCTCCTCCCCCCACCCCTCCTCTGCTCCCAGTCGAGACAGGACCCACCAGGCCTGGTGGGAGGGCCATACATTTTGGTACCAGTGCTTGACTAGGCGGATGAGGCTCTTGAGCTTGGTGGGGCGCTGCTTCAGGAAGTCTCTCTGTAGTTCTGTGAAGCAGGTGGAGAACTCGCCCTCTTTCTGCAGGTCGGTGCACTCCTCGATGAGCTTGACATAGATTTGGGGGTTAGGTTTATAGCCGCCAGTCAACTGACCTGTTCGGGCAAAATCTACAACTTAGGTGTCAGCTCTTCTCTGAATTTCCTTCAGTCACTCTGAGGGGACAATCTCCCTGGCCATGGGGTTTGATTGAAAAGTGCAGCAGACCCAGGGCTGGGAAGTCTTGAGGTCCATTCCTGATCCTCCCTCCTGCCCTCTCCACTGCCATCACCCCATCCAAGCCACCACCGTCACTCGCCGGAACTATGGCAGCAACCTCTTTACAGGTTCCCCCACAGCCTGTTCTCAACCTGGCACCTAGAGAATGCTGCTGATCATGCTGCTTCCTGCATCCCATAACATCTGGAATTTTAAAACCCAAAGATCTTATGGTGGCCAATGATGTCTGGTGTGATCTGGTCTCTGGAACCTCTCCCACCTCACCTCCTGTCTTGCTTCCTTTGCCCACTTTCTACTTCTCTGACTTTTTCTCTCTTCCTCAAATGTGCCATGGTCATTGCTGCTTCAGGGCCTCTGCACTTGCCATTCCTCTTCCCAGAACCTCCAGATCTCCCCAAGGCTCACTCCTTCTCGCCACTCAGGCTCAGGGACCCTCCCTCACGACCCTGTCTAAAAAAGCTCCCTAACCCCCATGGCTATCTATTGTTTCACCCTACTTAGTTTTCTTTTCTTTTCTTTTTTAATCACTCCTTATATTCTTTTCTTTTTTCTTTTTTTCGAGATGGAGTCTCACTCTGTTGCCCAGGCTGGAGTGCAATGGCATGATCTTGGCTCATTGCAACCTCCATCTCCTGGGTTCAAGCAATTCTCCTGCCTCAGCCTCCCGAGTAGCTGTGATTACAGGCACACACCACCACGCCCAGCTAATTTTTGTATTTTTAGTAGATGTGAGATTTCACCATGTTGGCCAGGCTGGTCTTGAATTCCTGACTTCAAGTGATCCCCCCACTTTGGCCTCCCAAAGTGCTGAGATTACAGGCGTGAGCCACTGTGACCAGCCTTCTCCCTCTTGTCTTTTACAACCATTGTACTTCAGCCCCCAACACAGGAGATGGCACAAAGGAGAGAATCCAAAACTTTCTCATACCCTGGTGTCTTTGGAGAGTCAGCATTTTTTTTTTCATGGCTGCCCTAGGACTAAAGGAAACTGTGACAGTTCCTTTAATTAAGTCCTAATTACTTGATAATTAATCACTAATTACTGCTTAATGACCAACTATTAATTAGTAGCCACTAATCAGTAAGTTCAGTTTAATAGTAGCCGTTTGTGCGGTGTGTGACAGATGTCATCGCATTTCCCTCAAAAAATTAAAATCTAAACTATTCCGTGTCCCTCTGTGAGTTCACTGTGGTGTTTTGAGGTGCCTTCATATACAGCTGGGAAATTCATAGTTTTGACTGATTGACTGATTGATTGAGACAGGGTCTTGCTCTTGCTCTGTGCCTAGGATGGAGTGCAGTGGTACATTCGTGGCTCACTGACACCTCGAATCCTTGGCTGGCCTCATGTGATCGTTCAGTCTCAGCGTCCTGAATAACTGCGACCACAGGCATGTACCACCACACTTGGCTAATGTTTTAAAATTTTTAGTAGAGATGAGGTTTCACTTTGCTGCCCAGGCTGGTCTTGAACTCCTGGGCTCAAGCGACCCTCCTGCCTCAGCCTCCAAAAGTGTTGGAATTACAAGCATGAGCCACCACACTTGGCTGGAAGTTCCTATTTTTGAACACCTATTACTCATCAGAGCTGAATGTAGATGATCATTTATCACTTAAAATAATGATATGATACAGGTAGTGTGGTTTTACCAATTCTCCTGATGTGGCAAGGGAGCCTCTGAGAGGTTACACTTCCTGTCCAAATGTTCCTGCAAATTATAAATATCTATCTCCCAACGTGCTGCATACGTTTGATGAGATCTCATGTTGGGACAAAGATGAGAGTAACATGAACTTTAAGCCACATCTTTGCTGCCTGATTTTAGAAAGATAAAATTCACACATTTTGCCTTAAACAGAACCAGTAAGCCTTGCAGATGTTCTGTAAGAAATGTCTTTGTCCCCACATTATGCCAATTTGCTGTTTAATGTCTCTCCTGTGATAGATCATGACCGTATTCATTCTTGCCCCGGGACAGATCCTAAGATCTCCTCCCACCCTGCTTTAGAGAGATGCCCTGTTGGGGCAAAAAGCTCTCAAACTGTGGGAGATTTCTGCTCAGAAATGGGAAGAGGGAGAAAAAGAAGCTGGGAGCTCTCACCCAGGGCATCAAAGGCAGGCAGCACATCGAACTCCACCCCCTCCCCGAGCTGGAGCGAACTCAGTACGAAGCTGAGCGCACGGGGGTTGCCCCAGCGTGGAGCCTGGACCTCAAACTTCACGGAAAATGCTCTCTCTCTTTGACAGGCTTCCAGCTGTCTCCTAATTTCCTGGATGAACTCTCCCCGGCGATTTAACTGATCCTGAAAAGTGGTGAGAGGACTGAGGAAGACAACCAGGTCAGCGTCAGATCGGCCTCTGAGGGTGGTGCCCTTGCCTGAGGAGCCACCCTGAAAAAGACGACAAAAATAATAATTGATGCTTAGTGAGGCAAACCTCCCTAAATAAAATGACAGGAGCAATCACTAACATTATGGAGCACTAGCCACTGTTCTGAAGGCATTGCATGTCTTAAACTCCTATAATGCTCACAATGATGCTATGATTTGGATGCCATTATCATTAGTTCCCATTTTACAGATGGGAAAATGGATGCTCAGTGAGATAATATATCAGCCCCATCACCCAGCTAGTAGGTGGCAAATACAATTCAAACCTGGGGGCCTTCTTCCAGGATCTGTGTTCTTTTCCCATTGTCCTTTACGATGCCCAGGACTAGCTTATGCTGGGTGGTTCACACTTACTATTTTACTTAATCTACACGGCCCTATGAGGTATTGAGGGAAAGTAGAGGAAAAATCAGTTAGGTAAATGGTCAAGGCTGGGCCCTGGAGGAGCGGCCTGCCTGAAACTGGCGCAGGGAGTGGGACTTACCTAAAACAAATCCACAGTTATACATACAAGAGAAGCAGCGCTTTATGCTTGCCTAGAGATATACCCACAGCTGCATAAGGTAAGGGAAGTTGCACAGCTTTACTGATAAAAAGTTTCTCAAACAGTTACAGGGAGGAGAGTGGTTTCTTATAAAAGTTTTTTGCATTCAGCTGCAATCTGGCAATCCACTCAGACTTCCCTCTCCACAGTGGAGACAGCTTTCTTCTTTTGCTTACTGAACTTTTGCTCCAAGCTCACGTTTGTGTCCATGTTCCTTAATTTTCTTGGATGCAGGACAAAGAACCTTGGGTACTAATTCAGTGAGAAGCTGCTACATTAAGGTGCACTGGCAAGACTGCAACAGTATTGGGGATTATGGCTGAGGAAATTGGAACACAGAGTAGTTAAGTGACTTGCTCAAGGTCTTGCAGCCAGCAGGTGCTATTTGCTTTCAAAACATATGATTCTTCACTGCAGAAATGGTGAGCCCCTAGCCTGGCCACGAATTAGCAAACTGTTTACCAGAGCTGGGATTCAGTTCCCTATTTCTGAAATGGGCATCGCCCAGGACAGTGGTTCATAAACTTCAGCGGGAAGTAGGGGGGAGGGTCACTTGTTAATAATAGGGATGTAGGATTTCACCCCAGAATCTATTTTAACATGCTGTGTGGATAAATAAGAAACCACCATCCCAGAAGATCTCAGCTCTCTGTACTCACATTTGCACCCTGGGTTCTAGGTTTTTGCTTCTCTCTCTCTCTCTCTCTCATTCTCAATCTCAACTCTTGCACATTCAGCCACCCCTCCCCTGGCCAGGCAGGCCTGGACTCACCTTTACCACCTTGGACACACACACAGGGTAGGAGCTACCTCGGAAGCACCTTTCCTTCAGGAACCCACAGATGATGTCAATGGCATGGTTGATTTGCATGCGGAAACACGTGTCTGGCAAGAGATAGTCTTCAATGAACTTGTCCAGAGATTTGGCTGGGGTATTTCTGAGATCCATCATTGACAGGAGAGAGAGTGGCAACAGAACTGCCTCCCAGACCTGTTTGCTTTTATCTCTTCTGCTGACTGAGCTTGGACTGCTGTTGGTTTCGTTTCCTCAGAAGGGAGGAGCTGTCTTTGCACTTTCCTTTTGCAAATCAGACACTCCCCTGATCCCAGTGCTGAATTTCATCTGCTCACTCTTCTGCTTCCTGAAACTTACCCTTTGTCCTTTAGCCAGCAACAAGCAGCCCAGCCTTTCTCTGAACTCTGCTCTGGAAATGCATTTTAACCTCCAGCCAACATAAATCTTATTTAACAGATTTTGTGTTTCCTTCTTTATCTTTTTTTTGTTGTTGATGAAATCCTTTCACAGTTGTCTGTGGTATTTTCCAGCAATACATGCCCACTGCAAAAAGAAAAAAAGTCAGAAAAACCAGGAAGTGGAAAGATCATCTATGATTCTAACACTACAAAATTGCCTCTATAAACGTTTTGATATAGAGCTTTCCAGATTTTTTTCAAATGTTAACACACACACAAACACAGGTCTCTTTTCTTTTTGTTAAGAATGGTATTATACTATGCTTTTTTCCCTTTCAATTAGTAGATTTTTATTTTATTTTATTATTTTTTGGAGACAGGATCTTGCTTTGTTATCCAGGCTGGAGTGCAGGGGCATGATCATGACTCGTGCAACCTCAACTTCCTGGGTTCAAGGGATCCTCCTGCCCCAGCCTCCTGAATACCTGGGACTACAGGCATGCGTTACTGCACCCAGCTCATTTTTTATTTTTTGTAGAGACAAGGTCTTGCTATGTTGCCCAGGTTGGATTTTATTTCTCACAGCAGTTTTAGGCTTACAGAAATATTGAGCTGAATGTGCAGAGAGTTCCATAAGCTCTCTCTCCTGCCAATAAGTTCCTCTATTATTAACAGTACTGTGATACATTTGTTACAATTGATGAATTGATATTAATACATCATAATTAACAAAAGTCCATTTACATTAAGGTTTACATTAAGGTTCACTCTTGTGTCCTACAGTTCTATGGATTTTGCCAAACATAACATGTCATGTATCCACCATTACAGCACCATGCAGAATAGTTTTGAGATAGGAGGTGGGGCTTGACTCAGGGCCAGATTGAAGACTGGCTGGCATGAGCACCAGCACCATGAACAGTTTACTCATTCCCTGGCAATGACCCAGTTACCACCCTTCTTCTAGAAATTTCTGAATAACCTGCCCTTAATTTGCACGTATTTAAAAGTGGGTATGAATGTGACTATAGAAGTGCCCTGAGCTGCTGCTCTCCAGGCACTGCCTATGGGGTGGCCCTGCTCTGCAGGGACAGTCACAGAACTGTAACCCTGCTGCCTCAATAAACCTTTTTCTTCCTCCTCTAGCTCACCCTTGAATTCCTTCCTGGACGAAGCCAAGAGCCTTCCCGGACGGTGTCCCAGTTTTGGGGCTCCCCTGCCCTGCAAGAGTTTCACTACCTTAAAATCCCCTATGCCTCACCTGTTCATCCCTCTCTGAGTTAGATCTTTCTTCTCCTAATATATGCATTCAATGCTATAACTTTCCCTCTAAACACTACTTTCACTACATCCCACACTTTTTGATAGGCTGTTTTTTCATTTTAATTTAATTCAAAATATATTTATTTATTTTGTTGAGACAGGGTCTCACTCTGTTGCCCAGGCTGGGGTGCAGTGGCACAATCTTAGCTCACTGCAGCCTTGACCTCCTGGGCTCAGGTGATCCTCCCACCTCAGCCTCCCAAGTAGCTGGGACTACAGGTACATGCCACCATGCCTGGCTAATTTTTGTATTTTTTGTAGAGATGGGGTTTCTGCATGTGGCCCAGTCTGGTCTCGAACTCCTGGGCTCAAGCGATCCATCTGCCTCAGCCTCCCAAAGTGCTAGGATTATAGGCGTAAGCCACTGAGCCTGGCCCAAAATATTTTAAAATTTCTCTTGAGACTTCTTCCTTGCCCCATGTGTTATTTAGAGGTGTGTTCTTTAATCTCCATATATTTTGGAATTTTCCAGCTATCTTTCTTTTGTGGGTTTCTTTTTTAATTCCATTGTAGTAAAGGGCATGCTTTGCATAACATATCTCTGTTGAAATTTGTTAAAGTGTGTTTTCTAGCCCAGAACATAATATGTCTTGGTGAATGTTCTGTGTGAGTTTGAGAAGAATGTGTTTCCTGTTTTTGTTGGATGAAATATTTTGTAAATGCCAACTATCTTTCTTACAAACCCTTAACCTCTTAACCAGATTATTCATGAGTTGACACTCTCCACTCCTACTGTATAAGATGTTGACTTTGGCCTAAGACTAAATGTCACCATGAGGGTGGGGTGCTGTCTTTGCAATACTCACTTCATTTACTAGTTGAAGATTCTTGCTGCACTGTATGCAAAAAATTAGGCCAAGTATGATAAAGCAAACCAGTCATACCATTGTAGCAGGAAGAGCTGCAGACAAAAACCCCTCAGACACCGAGTTAAAGAAGGAAGGGGTTTATTCGGCCGGGAGCATGGGCAAGACCCCTGTCTCAAGAGCTGAGCTCCCCGAGTGAGCGATTCTTGTCCCTTTTAAGGGCTCACAACTCTAAGGGGGTCCATGTGAGAGGGTCGTGATGGATTGAGCAAGCAGGGGGTACATGACTGGGGGTTGCATACACCAGTAATTAGAACAGAACAGAATAGGACAGGGATCTTCACAGTGCCTTTTTTATGCAAATAACCTATTAGGTCAGGAGTCGATCTTTAACTACCAGGCCCAGGGTGTGGCACCAGGCTACCTGCTTGTGGATTTCATTTCTGCCTTTTAGTTTTTACATCTTCTTTCTTTGGAGGCAGAAATTAGGCATAAGACAATATGAGGGGTGGTCTCCTCCCTTACCATGATTCATCTTTAGTAAAAATGGGAAACTGGAGAAAGATTATGCTTCAAAAACTATAGTACACCTGTTGTTGCATTCTAGTCTTGCCTAATGTTTTTCAATTTTTATTATTTTCTATAGTTTGGACTGAATTCTAATTTTTCTTGGCTACAAGTCTCCAAAATAATATTTTAAATTTTTTCCTTCTTTTCCCCCCATTTTCCCTAATTTGGAATCACTGAAAACTAAGTTGTGCTTTTATAAAGCCCTGCAAACTGGAGCTAGACAACTTAAACCTCAGAAAAAAATAATTACATATTTACAGACGTAAGCCACTTTCATACCTATCTGCTGATGTGTGAACTTCGGAATACTCTGGCCTGTATCTTGATTTTCCAGGATTGTTCTTTTGTTTGTTGTGTTCTCCCTTCCTCCCCCTATTTTCTCTTCACAGGACATGAGACTTTACAACCTTCTAAAAATGAGCTTTCCTAATAACTCCGGACTTACCCCTATAGTAATAAACCATCCTAGCCAAGAGAAATCAGATGAAACCTGAGACTAGAGACTCATTTTCTTCTAAAATGCTTTGTCTAAAATATTTTTAAAAAGAAAAGGGAGGAAATGTGAAAGGAAAATATCTTGGGGCCCCAAAATCACTCAGCTAAAGGGAAAAGTCAAGCTGGGGAATTGCTCAGGGCAAACCTGCCTCCCGTTCTATTCAAAATCACCCCTCTGCTCACTGAGATAAATGCATTTCTGATTGCCCCCTTCAGAGAGGCTAATCAGAAATTCAAAATAATGCAACCATTTGTGTCTTATATACCTACCACTTGGAAGCCCCCTCCCCACTTCGAGTTGTCCCGCCTTTCCAGACCAAACCAATGTCCATCTTACATACGTTGATTGATGTCTCATGTCCCCTAAAATGTATAAAACCAAACTGTCTCTGACTGCCTTGGGCACATGTCCTCAGGTCCTCCTGAGGCTGTGTCACGGGTTGGCATCCTCAACCTTGGCAAAATAAACTTTCTAAATTAACTGAAAAAAAAAAAAAAGATTCTGGCCAGGAGCAGTGATTCAGGCTTGTAATCCCAGCACTTTCGGAGGTGGAGGCAGGAGGCTCACTTGAGCTCCGGAGTTTGAGACCAGCCTGGACAACATAGCTAGATGCTGTCTCTAAATAAATAAAGAAGACTTTGTTTGCTCCCATAGTGAGACCCTGTCTCTAAATAAATAAATAAAATTTTGTTTGCTCCCAAATGTCCTCATGGCAATTGCAGTTGTTAAATATTTTTGATTAAATATATATATCTGTAAACAGATGAGTGCAAAAGAGAGCTGTCCTTAGGAAACCAACATCCAATTCTTTGGAAAGATGCAATAAAGGCAAGCATTGCGTAGAATTAGCTAAGAGTGAGATGATCCCATAGAAGATTGAGAAAATAAGTTGAAACAAATCCACTTTTGCCCAGGATTATGCCTTCATGCCTTTGCAGGTGGCTTTAAATTATTGTTTCCTTTAAAGAAACAGAAACAGGAAATTACACACCACTCATTCTTGCGCTTTGAGAGAAAGATAGTGTGGGACTCCAGTCAGGGGGCCTGTCCTCAGCAAAAAGGTCTCGGTCTTCAACGAATGATTAGGAAACAACGGCACATTTATGGGGTGTAACAATTAACATAGAGAATCATGATGCTCTGATGTCTACCTGTGTAGTCAGAGAACAAAAAGGGGAAGTGACTTATTCAAGATCACACAGCAGATATGGACAAGAGCCAAGCAAAAGATACCTCTTTTTTTTTTTTTTTTTTTTTTTTTTTTTTTTTTGAGACAGAGTCTCACTCTGTTGCCCATGCTGGAGTGCAGTGCCATAATCTTGGCTCACTGCAACCTCCACCTCCTGGGATCAAGCAATTCTCCTCCCTCAGCCTCCCGAGTAGCTGGGATTACAGGTGTCTGCCACCACACCCAGCTAATTTTTTGTATTTTTAGTAGAGACGGGGTTTCACCATGTTGGCCAGGCTGGTCTCAAACTCTTGTGATCCACCTGCCTTGGCCTCCCAAAGTGCTGGGATTACAGGCGTGAGCCACCGCACCCGGCCAAAAGATACCTCTTATGTACATACTTTTGCTTTCATGGTACTCTTTTTAAAAATTATTATTTTTATTTATTTTTTTTTGAGACGGAGTTTCACTCTTGTTGCCTAAGCTGGAGTGCAATGGCATGATCTCAGCTTACCACAACCTCCACCTCCCAGGTTCAAGTGATTCTCCTGCCTCAGCCTCCCAAATAGCAAGGATTACAGGTGCCCGCCACCACGCCTGGCTAATTTTTTGTATTTTCAGTAGAGACAGGATTTCACCATATTGGCCAGGCTGGTCTTGAACTCCTGACCTCAGGTGATCCACCTGCCTGGCCTCCCACAGTGCTGGGATTGCAGGCATCAGCCACCATGCCTGGTCAAAAATTATTTTTAATTATTATGAATACATAAGAGTTGTACATATTTATGGGGTGCATGCAATATTTTGGACACAGGTGTATGATGTGTCACAATCACATCAGGGTAATTGGGGTGTCCATCACCTTGAATGGCTTGCTTAACCTCATCAAGCCAATGTCCCTGGCAGATCTGATTGAGCTGAGCAAGGGTCAGCCTGGCAGGTTTCAGAGCATTGAGTGTTTAATCCACTTGGCGGTAAGCCCAGCCGCAATTGGGCCTGCACTGCTTTCACCAGGAACCACCAGCCCTGTGACCTGCCCCTTTTCCTGGCCTCCCTTTTGTCATCCCTGATGGGAAACCAGACCTCAGCAACTTGATCTTGCCTCTGACTCCTACTCAGAACAAACATCTCTAGATGTTGGCTGAATTTCTGTGGGCACCAGCAGGAGAGTCTGCTCCCATCTGTGCAGAGACCTTGGAGATCTGATTTCTGCCTCACCTGAACTTCACCCACTTTCAGCTCCAACGTCCTGTTTTCAACCAATGCCAGTTCAAGAGCATTTTCCCCGATGCAAGCTGCGTGAGGGAGCCCAAGTTTAGGGGCTGGCAAGCGGAGGTGGCACTTGTCAAGTCTCTACTACGTGCCAGGTACTCTCGATGGACTGTACCGTTAACATCTCTCAGCAACTCTTTGAAATATTTATTACTCCAGCTGAGGAAACTGATACTCAGTGAGGCTAAATGACTTGGCCAAGTTCCCATAGCTAGAAAGTGTCAGTCAGAATTTGAATGCTGGACTTAATTGAAATTTTGGCTCGCGTTCTTTTCAGGGCAGATGCTTTCCAACACACCATATAGCCACTTACAGAGTGTTTTATTTCAATGGGGTCAGCCAGGGGTCAGGGGTGGGGCAGCACAATTAGCTAGATCAGGTGTACTAATATTTATGAAAACTTTCCTCCTGTATGTTCATCTCAGTCTGTTAGGCTTGTCTGCATATAAATGAAGATCAACCAGTTTAAGGATGGAAATTAGGCTTCTTTTTAACCGCCACCCATGACTGACTGGTGGTGGCTCCCTGGAACCCTGGGTTGAGAGGGACTCAGAGGCTGCTTGTAGGTTCTGTAGGAAAGATGCCGTATTGATTAGTGATGTCTGCCAGGAGCACAGGGAGAATGGCAAGTGTCTCCAGCTGTTCCTGTGAGGCTTCTAAGGACATAATTAGCACCTCTCTCCACCTAGTGGCAGCTAGCTAAATTGCCACCAGGAAAAACTGATCAACTTTTTGGGTAGTGGTTTTCAAAGTCATCATGAAGGTGGAAATCACAAGGCATCAACCAGGAAATATTTTCTTTTTCTTTTTTTTTTTTTTTTTGAGGCGGCGTCTTACTCTGTCACCCAGGTTGGAGTACAGTGGTATGATCTCAGCTCACTGCAACCTCCACCTCCCAGGTTCAAGCTATTCTCCTGTTTCAGCCTCCCGAGTAGCTGGCACTACAGGTGCACGCCACCACACCTGGCTAATTTTTGTATTTTTAGTAGAGACAGGGTTTCACCCTGTTGGCCAGACTGGTCTCGAACTCTTGACCTCAGGTGATTCACCCACCTCGGCCTCCCAAAGTGCTGGGATTATAAGCATGAGCTGCTGTGCCCGGCCAGAAAATATTTTCAACTATACACCTTATCCTCAGGGTTTAGCAGAATCTGTGGGGAAAGAAATCTCCCAAGTGAGACTAACATGCCAGCTTTTGCTTTTGAGGGCACAAACAGGAAATGGTCTCAAAGAAAAGAGAATTATCTGTGGGACAGAATTGATGGCTCCTTCTTGAAGTAACCATTACTGATAAATTGCTTAAGCACTTTGGGGATGGATTATAGTGTGATTAAGAATTCTAGAGGCCGGGTGTAGTGGCTCACACCTGTAATCCCAAAACTTTGAGTAGCCAAGGCAAGTGGATCACCTGAGGTCAGGAGTTTGAGACCAGCCTGACCAACATGGCGAAACCCTGCCTCTACTAAAAATATAAAAATTAGCCGGGTGTGGCGGCAAGCACCTGTAGTCCCAGCTACTCGGGAGGCTGAGGCAGGAGAATCACTTGAACCCGGGAGGTGGAGGTTGCAGTGAGCAGAGATTGTGCCACTGTACTCCAGCCTGAGGGACAGAGGGAGACTCCATAATAAAAAAAAAAAAAAAAAAGATTTTTTTTTTCTGGAGAGTCAGTTGCTGACTCAGTTCACCTTCAGGACTATCGAGAATCTCCAATGAGAGAATCATTGTAGGTTGGAAGGTGCTACAATGCAAGGGAGGCATTTGATGGTCCATGCTCATCGATCAGTGTGTGAAGAACACTGGATTCTGGGAGTCCAACGATCGAACTCCTTTCCTGGTATTGCCTTTGTTTAACACTGGACATGGCATTTTCTTCTCTGGACCTTGGTTTCTTCATCTGTCTAAAAAGTGAGTTGATTGAACTAGGTTGTGGCTCAATTGTATGTTCTCTTTTAGCTTTGGCAATTTCTGATTCTGCAACCACCTGGGACGTTTCCCAGGTCTTGTAGCAGCAGGAGGAGGATGAGGATGTTGCCCTCCTGTTTGGTAGGCACCAGCAAAAAGTATTCTTCTAGAAGGGTTTGGAGTCAGCCAAGTTACCTTAGGCCCACCTGCCCAAGATAAAATCCACCATAAAGCAAACTCCTCGTGGGCAGAGAACACATCTGTCGCCAGTGCCTGGAACATAGTAGATGCTCATTAAGTACTGACTATCAGAATAGCATATGTCCTGGTGGGGAGGAGGACTTCGCAGAAACCAGAAAGGAAAACTGCAGACCACTCGTTTTCTTGGATGCTCCTACTTTATTTTTGGCTACATCATCACAAAGAAAGATGCTGGGTGGTTGTGCATGCACCGGAGGACGTGTGTGTATTCTAGGCAGGGAGGTGGTTACATTTGTCGGGGACAGCGGGCACCCAGACTAGGGGCACTGTGAGCTTGCTGCATGCTGATTCCAGCGCCTACACCAGCATCAGGCTTGGGCGACACAGCCAGCATGCTGTCTCCTAAGGGGAAACTGTGGTGAGGGAGGTGGGCTGAGAGTAGGTGCCACCAGGGACTAATGGGGAAAGATAAGGTCAAAAGGAAAGATGGCAGCCAGGAAGCTGTTGGCCACCTTGGGGAAGGTGAAGAGCTCGATGTTTAGAAAATGGTTATTCAAGGCAAGAAATGAGTCCTCCCATGAATTGTGCAGGGAGCTGAGGGTGGAGGGCGTTGAAAAGTTAAGAGATGTGATTTGGGGAAAGTGAGAGTTTGAGTATCTGTCTGATGCTTCTGTAGAGAATGTCAGGGGTTTGGGATGACTGGGAGTGATTTTCATGAGGGAAGACTTCATCAAAATTGGGAAAATCGAACCTTTCTCACAGGGCATTGAAGATTGCCTGACTTCAACCTCAAATTTGTAATGTTTGCCCACATTGCCTTTTCCTCCTTTATAAAATAATTTTTTTTATAGGAAGAAAGTGAAAGATTGATGATGAGCCCAAAGCCTTTGGCATCAGGCCTGTCTCTCTCTACTGTTCCATAGCCATGATATTATTTGATTCTCCCAGGAAGCTTAGTAACGAGAGTGCAGGAGACAGAGAGACAGACAAAGAGAGACAGAGAGACTGGAGGGGGTTCTGAGTGAGAGATGGGATGCAAAAGAGTCAATGAAACAGAGTCAAGGGCATTGGGGAGGAGGGTAGCTTGTTCATTTACCTAAGAGCGGAGAAAGGAGAAAGGCTGGAGGCTTTGGCTGAGGCTTCCTCAGACCCATGGCCCTGGTCTTCTAAATGCCTCCGTGCCCACCCGGGGAGCCCACGGATGAGAGAGTCCTCTATGGGGCATCTACACAGCTTGAGGGATGCTGCCATGCACTCAGGGCAGTGCCAGCCATTGGCCCAAGCCCTGGGAATGTCTGGTTCTGCCAACGGGAGGAGTGGGTCAGTTAAGAAGCGTGGGCCCAAGTGGAATCTCAGGTTTGGGCCAGTTTCTCAGTTTCCTGGTCAGGCTGGTGAGAGCAAGGGGGTGAGGCTAGGTTAACATACACTTTTTTTGCTGTTGTTTTTGCGGTGTTACTGCTTTAGAGAGAGAGAAAGGCAAAGGGAAGAAAGGCAGGGAGAGAAAGGAGAGGGGAGAGGCTGAGAAAGAGAGAATCTACTATCATGGAAGGGAAAGAAGAGGGAGGAGGAGAAAAGGTGACAGAGGAAGGGTTTTTTGTTGTTGTCGTTTGTTTTTGTTTTGCTAGGAAGCACACAGGTGACATTCGGAAAGAGGAGAGCGTCCAAGCCCCTGGTGAATTCTGTGCATTTGCATCCTGGTGCACTTGGAGCAGGGAGGGTGTGTTACTGAACACAGCAGTCTGTTTTCCTGGCAATCAGGGTGTACATCTCAGGGGGCAGTGGGAGCCCGGAGGCTCTATTTGTGCCCCAATGCTTCTCTCACAGCATTGTCCGGGTCTGCTGACAACTGGGGATATACAGAGACACAACACAGGGAATGAAAGGGTGTGTGTGTGTGTGTGTGTGTGTGTGTGTACATGTGTGTGTTCAAGGCTAGGAGGGTCTAAAAACAGTCCTAAATGATGAAGAACCTTTGTAATTTACCCAAACTGAGAGGTTATTAAATGATCAACCTCTTTGTAAACGTCTCCCCAACCCCATCCCCATTGCTCCATCCCAGGGATGAGAGAGGGGCTGTATTCAGAGCCCACATCCCAGCATCAGGGAGGAGGGAGTCTTTGGCAGCAGTGCCCAACGTGACGGGGGCTCAAAGGCAGGCTCAGGGAGATCAGCAGGGTATGGGGGGAGGTAGGCATAGAGAAGAGAGATCAGGGTGCGGTGGGCAGCTAGAGCAGGCTGGGGGGGACCCGGGACATGGAGATGGGGACCTGGGCACTAGCCTAATCACTTGACACGTGGTTCTCATTCTGTAGCTGGTGCCAGCGCTCTATCTTCTTGTCTTTATTTTTCAGACACTCGTACCAGTGTTTTAAGCGCTCTCCCTTGGCAGAGATCCCCAGCTGGCAGCCTCCTGGAGGATAAATGGGAAGATAGGAGCAGGTGGTCAGAATAGAGGTCGTTCTAGACCCAAATGTGTAGTTGGGGAAAAAACTGCACCAAGCAGTGACCCCCAGCAACCTGGGATCCATACTCTATAGAGAGTTGTTATAACGTTGCTGCTGTTGTTGTTATTATTATTACGGTCCTTCTCTGCCTCAAGAACCTGCAATGGCTCCCTACTGTTCCACTGAGTCATAATTTCACTGTCTATTTTTAAAGGCTTTCTACAAATCACCATTCTACTCACTGAAACTTATCTCCCACTACTTCTGGGAACTCATTGTCTATTTCCAAAAAGGTTCATCATCCTGCTCAATCCTGTCTTTACCCCTTAGCTCAGGCTCTGTCCCTTGCCTGGAGTCCCCACCCCCCTGCTTCATCTTTAATTGATTTTCTTCCTCATGATTCAAACAGGAACTAAAAAATTAAAAATTTTATCCTGGACATGCAAATAAATTAAGAATTCTTTTGCACCCTGCTTTCTGCAGAGAACGCAAATCTCTCCTGTGATTTAATTACCCCACTGGAGGTGATTTGTTCAACAAATAATCAAGTTTTGTAAGGCTTTTCATGTAAAGACATCCCCAAATTGGACCAAGGTCAAGATCATGGGTCTCAATTTAGCATTTGAACAATGAGGTTGCCAAAAGAATAGCAATGACCTCAACTCTCTGTAGCCCTGGATAAGGCTCTCCTGTTCTGGGGAGGACAGAAGAGGGCGTTTTCTCTGGAGTTAGGAACACTCACCGATGTAATCATTGGACTTGCCGATGTCATAGTCCCAGACTGAAATGTCCAGTGACTTCTTTGCCAGGTCACTGTGTTTGATGTCATAGAAAAACTCCTGAATACAACAGAGGAAGACATGTGGGTAAGAGCCCTCTGAACCCACAGCATTGGGAGGTAAGAGGCCGAGTCCTAGGGGTTATGGGCCAAGGAGAGGTCCTTGAGCTGGCATTCTGGGAGCAAGGAGGTCTTCCCGTGCCGATCCTCTGCCCCAGGTCCCGTGATCCCCTTCCAACAAACACTCTGTGTAACAAAGCACTGTCATCCTCTTTTCAGTGAATTCTCTGCTTGAAATTGGGAAGGCTGGTGAGGTTTTTCTAATAGAGCTCAAGTTTCCTTGTAGGTAAATGGCCATGAACATAGTCCTTCCCCTCTGGTAGTTTATGAAGGGGCATCCCCTTTTTTATTGCTTAGGAATAAAAGTAGTTGAAGTGGCCGGGCCCGGTGGCTCACACCTGTAATTCCAGCACTTTGGGAGGCTGAGATGGTGGCTCATTTGAGCTCAGGAGTTCGAGACCAGCCTGACCAACATGGTGAAACCCCATCTCTACTAAAAATACAAAAATTAGCCAGGCATGGTGGTGGGCACCTGTAATTGCAGCTATTCGGGAAGCTGAGGCAGGAGAATTGCTTGAACCAGGGAGGTGGAGGTTGCAGTGAGCCAAGATCACGCCACTGCACTCCAGCCTAGGCCACAGAGTGAGACTCTGTCTCAAAAATAAATAAATAAATAAATACAGTTGAAGTGGACTGAGTACATATGTTCCCAGACAATCTGATTTTTAAAAAATAGCTTCTCTGCCTAATTACAAAATTCATTTTATGTTCATTGCTAAAACAAAGAAGAACCCCCACCCCCAATTCCCGGTAATCCAACTACCCAAGAATAACCATGTCAACATTCCCCCACATGTGTTCACAGTGATGTATAAATTTTTTGTTAACTAAGTAATGCTGAACATACAGTATTGTCACTTCCTTTTTCATTTACAACTTTGGGCAAAAACCAACTTAGCATGTTCTCAAATATTTTTCAAATATTTTTCTACATCATCATTTCAAATGGCTGCATTTAATGGCTATGTGGCCACATATTTAATGGCTATGTGGCTATTTGTGCCTCTCTAACACACAGCAAATATCCCAGAGCATGAAAAAGAATAGGGCAGCCTTACCTCATTGAATTCGGGATTCAAGGTTTTCTTTTTAATTTGAGTCTTGTGTTTGGCCTTCTTTCCCATGTCCGGTTTCAGCCAGCTGGGAGGCGACACAACATGCTATTATGGATGACGTTTAATGAATAAGAACAGCCTCTTGACCCCAAAGGCCCCTTCTTTATCAGGGTGAATTGATGAATAAATCAGAAAGGGATCAACATTGATAATGACCAATATGCATTAGAGCATCTGCTTGGTACCAGGCACTTGACTGAGCAACTTAGGCATATTTAATCCCCACATGACCCTAGGCAGTAGAACCACAACCACTCAGTTTACAGAAACAGAAACTGAGATCCAGAGAGGCAGAAGTGTGCCCTAGCTCACACAGCTGGGATTGAATCCAGATGTTGCATCTAGAGTCTGTGTTCTTAGCATGCTCACTTTCTCCCCATAAGTCAAATTGATGGCCATGGCTGGTGGTGCCTGGCATTTTACCATCTATCCCACCTTAGGCTGCCCCCAATCCCTAGAGAGAGGCTGGGTGTATGCACAGAAAGGGGAAGATGCAAATCTGATTATTGTCACTCCACTTCTCAAAACTGTGTACTGGGTTCCTTTTAAACTCAGGGGAGAGTTCAAAATCCTTCATGTGGCCTTAAGACCGTGTGTGTTGGGTTTCTGCTCCATCCCAACCTAACCTTATGCCATCCTCCTCACCCCACTCCTTACTTCTCCTTTCCACCCAAGGGCCTTTGAGCAAACTGTTTCTTCTGCCTACAGGGCTCTTTTCCAGTGAGGCCCAGTGTCTGGCACATAGTAGGTACTCAATCAATATTTTCTGGGTGAGGCTGCGTATGGTGGCTCGTGCCTGTAATCTCTGCACTTTAGGAGGCCAAAGCGGGAGGATCACTTGAGCCCAGGAGTTCCAGACCGGCCTGGGCAACATAGCGAGAGCCTGTCTCTATAAAAAATAACAAAAATTATCTGGGCACAGTGATGTATGCCTTCAGTCCCAGGTACTCAGGAAGCTGAGGTGGAAGGATCTCTTGAGCCCCAGAGTTCGAGGCTGCAGTGAGCTATGATCACACCACTGCACTACAGCCTGGGCAATAGAGCGAGACCCTGTCTCTTAAAAAAGAGAGAGAGAACAAAACACAAACCAAACAAAACAAAATATTTCCTGGGTGAGTAAACACAATGGGCTAAACACTCCTAAGGGCTGGGACATTTGGATTCTGATTCAGGTTGTCACCAGCGGAGCAACTTTAAACATGAGCGTAACTTTACCGTGCCTCTGTTTCTTGACCTGTAAAGAGGGCGAACATTTCATTCTCATCTACAGAAGTGGTTTTGAGGATAATTTTTAAGAAGAGACAAAAATGAGGAATTAGAAGTTACCAAAGAGCTAAGCAAAAATAATGGGAAGTTCTGGCTTTTAAAAAATCTTTATTTGATCAGAAACTGCTTAGTGGTCTCCCATTTTTTCTCCCATAACTGCACCCAGCAGGTCAGCTGCTTCAGTAGTGACCACGGCAATTCTACTTCTTCTGGAAGGATTGGGTAGGTGGGGGAGGGGGTGGTAGAGAGAATTATTTAAGAAAACCAATCTGCACATGGCTGACCTCTAATGGAGTGCTGGACAGCACCCCTTGAGCTCATTTCCTCTCTTGGGTCATACGAGGAAATAAAATCAAATTACTCTTAGAAACCAAACTTGTCCCTGACCTGTGTGTTCTTTGTTAACTAAATCTTCATTCAAAGGAAATGTGAAAGACAGCCCACATGGATCTGTTCTTTGGCCATGGACTAAAGGGAAGTATTGCTTTCTGTTATCAGAGGCAGTGGAGGTGGGGGGAGTGTCTCCCAACTGGAGGGGATATTAGTAAATACTCTCTGCCATGAGTAAGGACAGTGATGGTGGTTATTTATAACCATAATGGCAGGTATTTATTAGCATTTACTGTGTACCAGACCCCTTGAAAATGTACCTCTCAGCCTGCATTCTCCAGTTGCAGGGGGTAAAACTGATGAACAAGCTACTGGGCTCTGTATTCATGATGTTCTTGCTGAAGCCACGCTTCCCACAAGTGTTCTTAGCCAATAACTGACGCTAGCAGGGACACTAGGCAGCCCCATTTCTGGGAAATGCAGGACTCCTCTGATGGGTGACTGTGCTCAAGGATTCTCCATCACCTTGGATGAAATAGTGCAGCTTCCTTGGAGCTGCACTGTAGCCTAAGATTGTTTCTACCCAAACTTCCTTCCTTCTCTGCTCCACAGGGGTCATACCTGTAGCAAGGTCTGTGGTCTCTATGGGTCCCCTCTGGATTCCTCCTTATCTCCTCTACAGGCACACCTGTATCTTCTCTTGGTGTTTCCTTCTTGGAGGACCTGAACTAATATACAGTATTACAGTATTACTCTGTCCATTTTGCAGATGAGCACACTGAGGCCTAGAGATGTTAAGCTATGAGCCCCAGGTCACATAGCTAGAGCATACTGGAGACTCCATGCTCCATGGAGATCCACATCCACAGAAACATACATGTTGCTGCCCCAAGGCCAGCAGAATTCTACTGAGGTGCTAAACATTTCTGTACCAGGCTCGATTCTGTTTGCTTTCTTTGTGCTATCTCATTTGAGCCTTAAGCCCACCTTGGAGATAAGTGGAACTCTTGTCTCCATTTTACCAATGAAGAAACTGAATGAGAAGCTAAATAACTTGCTTAGAGTCCACAGCCAGCAGCTGGCAGAGATGAGAATAGGGCCTGATGTCTGACACAGCGGTGGCTATGAGATTGCACCTGGCAGACCTCCAGCTACAGGAAGCGTAACTGACCAAGGCCCTGGATGCAGTGCTTGGAAGTCCATGACATATTTGTGCCAAGGCCATGCTCCCAGCCAATGACTGGGCCTGGCAGGGATGCTAAGGTCGGCCCACTCCTATGAGATACAGGACATGTCTGATGGCCAGTTTTGGCTTGAGGACTCCCTGGTGGCCTTACTGAACTTGTATCTGGAATGCTTCCCTCCAACTTCTCTATCTAGTCCCCTCACTCAGGTCAGACTTGCATTGTAGTCTAACATCTCTCCCTTTCTCCCCTGACTCCCTGCAGACTTCCTGGAATGGGCATTTCCCCTGATAAACCCCTTGTCTGCTTAATCCTATTTTGGCATCTTCTTCTCAGAGGATCTGGACTAACACAGATAACAGAGTCCCTTTTATTCTCCATGATGAGATTGCTGGAACAGACCCCAGACTGAAGGCATGTTTTTTTTCTGAGCATTTCCAGAATGAATCTGGAAAATGCCAGATGGCCTCTTTGGTGGTGGAGGTCTGAGCGGTCCGAGGGGTGTGCGGCCAACTCCTGGGAGTACAAATGGGGCTACTATAACTAATTAGCTTAGTTGCAGAGCCATCAGCAGGCCCTCAAGAGGACAGAGCCACAGAGCTTTGCCTGTGGGCAAGTGACACACCAGTTTGACTGCCTGAGACTCCAGACCCACATTCTTGCCAGTTGTAGGCATTTGTTTCACTGTGACCTTGGGCAGGTTCCTTGCCCTCTCTGGGTCTCAGTGTACAACGATCTTGGTGAAACTGTCTGGTTCTCCTTTTCCAAGGCTCCAGGACTCCTTCAGGGCCCACCTGTAGCCCCAAGGCATTGACTTACAGCTTGACGAATGGGTCTGAGTAGCCATTAGCGTCCATGGCAGCCAGGTGCACGCAGCGTATGATGCCCACAATGAGGCCTCCCTGCTGTGTGCTGTACATGAGGGAGACCAGGATCTTGCCACGCTCCTCGATGTCACCAACACGCTCCACCTGCTGCATTGGGGGAAAAGGCAGTGTGGGCCTTGGAGGGGAGGGGGCCAGGAAATGTGAATGGCGAGCATTAGGGAAGAACCTATGAAGGGCAGGCGAAGCTTGGCCAGCTCTAGGGAGCCAGTACCAGGGACAGCAGATGGCTTAGCCTCCAAAGAGGAGCCAAAGGTGAAAGTTGAGGACCAGTCTCAGGCACATGGGGACCAATGGCTTCCCTTTGACTTAGACATAAACAGACTCTGACTGTGAGCACAGACTAAACTTGCTCCGGGTCACTGATTGGCTTTGGCTCTAACCCAGGACTGAGCCTTGACCCTGGCCCCAGACAGATTCTTGCCTCTGATCTCAGACTCCCTTAACACAACCAGTATTCTTAAAGGGCAGTCCTTGGGGTCATATGAGGGACCCAGGCAGACAGCATGAAGGCTTAGTTCAGTTTCTGCCATGCACACAGCTCAAAGAATGCATCTACTCCAAGAAAGGAGTGTGCCATTGCCCTAGTCAGTAGAATTGTCAACAAAGCTTCTGACAACAAGGCCAAAAACCTGGTGGGCATCCTGGGTATGAGAGAAAGGGGCTTCCCCCTCCTCAGAGGCTTAGGTGTGGAGAGGACATCACTTGTGGGCAAAGGGTTGTTCTCAAGGCAAATCAACAGGGGGGTGGTTGGAAGAGAATGGATGAGGAAGGGGCCAGGGAGGGAGAGAAGAGGAAGATGCTAGCCTAGCCCAGTACAGACCCTGACTGTGGCTTCAATTCCTGCTCAGTGCTCACCTCTTCCTCATAAAGGGCCATGCCTCGGGCTGACCCGGTGGTCCCAGCACGTTTCATCTTAAAAGAAGAAAACAAATAAAAGATAACATTGTCTATGGAGCTCATCTTCCTGCGCAAGAAGGACCAGAAACCCCTCATACTTCCATTACCATCCAGAGCCATGAAAGTGGGTTCTTAAGCTACTGTGGCTCTCCTGCATTCTCCCTTTTAGCTAAAATTTATAAAACTTAGCCATATGGCAAGCTATGTGAATGTGTAACAACCTATGATATAGGTTCTGTTACAATTCCAATTTTACAAATGAGGATGCTGAGGGTCCGAGTAGTTAAGCCCCTTACCCAAGGTCACACAGCCAATAAGTGTCAGAGCATTCCACACACAAACAGACAAGATTTCATTTTCTCTGGTTGAAGTGGCTCAGGGGTCTTGGGGTCTGACCCACCAGGTGCTTTTGCCTTCATGGCCCCTGGGGCCCTTTTGCTGAACTCTAGGCTCTGGGAAACAGAGTTAGAAAACCATTGGTTAAATCCAACCTCCCCACTTTGGAGAGGAGGAAACCTGAGGTCCAGAGGGGAGGGGCCCTCAGTGGGACATAATGGGGGAAGTTCGTGGTGCAAGGGTTAAGGTTTAATGGCAAAGAGCAAAAGAAGATGATCAGTAGTGTTCTGCGGCTGCTGCAGCCCTCTGGGTGTCCTGCACCTCCATGTCTCTGGGGCTGGCTGCATTCACCATAGCAAGATGGGAAGACCCAAAGGCTGATGACACAGGCAAGGGCCTGGCCATTGTCCTGGCCAACTGGACTCACGGAGTTGGAGAAGGAAGAGAAGCCTGAAGACCCAGCTGTCACCAGGCAAAAGCCCAGAAGAAGGGCCTCATTCCTAGGGATGTCTTTAAGGATTTATTCTGAGCCTGGAATTCAGTGGAAATCCTTCCTTGAAATTTTCCTTGTTTGGTCTTGTTCCTTTGCCTGAACTATAAAACTATGGCATGGCATGCAGACATTCCATCCTCAGGCTGGCCATCTGGTGGGAAGATGCTCCTGCACCCCATAGCTTCCCTGTGGAGAGCAGGCAGGCTGCCCAGAGAGACCAGGGGTGCTGGTGTTGTAGGAGAGCTGGACTCTGGCCAGTGCCCAGAGACCTTGGAGACTTGCTACCCTTTCTGGGCCCAAGTTGGCCCATACGTAAGGCAAGGCAGCCTGAATTATCTCTAAAAATATAGATTGTTGAGTCCTACCCTACCCCACTAAAACAGAATCTCCAGGGGAGACCCCCACAAATCTTAGCTTGTAAAGCTCTGGTTTTAGAATCCCCCGGTTAATTCTGAGGTGCAACCCCATTGCAGAACCTCACTTTGATCCTTGCTATTTTCTCAAAGAGCAAGAATCACATCTGACAACAACAATGACAGTTCTAATACTTCATATGTATTATCACATTCAATCCTTAAAAGATCCTATGAGGTTAGTACTACAGTATCCCATTTTACAGATGAGACATCTGAGGCCCAGAGAAATTAAATAATTTGCCTCAGGTTATACCCTAAGTGGCAGAGCCAGGATTCACACCCGAGAGTCTGGCTGCAGAGCCCATACTCTTAAACTCTAGGCTATGCTGTCTGCTGTTTATCTACATGGTGCTTTCTGACTTCATGACTGACAGGTGGGTAAGGCAGCAATATTTCCTACACTAACAACTGTTAATTTATGAGTGCTTACTATGCATTAAGTTCTATTTTGATTATGTTATTTTTTAAAACACAACCCTCCCAAGAGGCAGGTACTGTTATAACACCCACATTACAGACAAGAACACCGAGGCTCGGAGTGGTTCAGCCCCTTGGCCAAGGCCATGGAGCAGCAAGTGGCAGAGCTGGCTCTGAACCCAGGAAGCCCATGCTGCCCCTGCCATGCTGTCCATCCAGTTTGGCCAAGAAGAACTCATGTTCGAAGTGATGCTGACACAGGGTTTGTGAAAGGCAGAGAGAGAATGCAGCCTGAGGTTGTGAGCTGGAATCTTGACTCTCCTCTGCAGACCTGCTGCAGTGCCTCTGCTACCCAATACCCCGTGGATCTATTTCCCCCAATTCAGACCCAGAGGAAGGCAGCTCCCCCAATCTCCCCTCCTCCCATCAGATCCTCAGGGTAAAGTCACTCACAGGAATCACTCGCTCCAGGCAGATGTTGAAATTCTTCCTCTGGTTGGGCTTCAGTTTCTTGAGGGAGAATCTGGTCTCACCAATAAATTCATTGTGGCCAAATTTGTCCTCATCACAGACGGAGATCCTGCCACCAACACAAGGGGGTAGAGAGAGAAACAGGAACAAATATTAAGACACCACTGTGTGCCAAGAGTTGCAGCTGATACTGGTAAGGAATGTGTAATGTATGTGGAAATAATATGATTTCCTGTTTATTTATCACTGGACCAAGTACCTTTAACTTCTTCTTTATTGCAGTATAACTGACATGCAGTAAAGCACATAAATTTAGTTTATAGCTTGATGAACCCTTGCATTTGTATATACCCATGTAATTCCCACCCAGGTCAAGATATAAAACATTCCAGAGACTGAAAGATCCTCAGGATCCTTTCTAGTCACTGCCTGTCTCAAAGATAGCCACTCTTTTGCCTCTGGCCACATGAAGTCATTTGTCTGGTTTTTGACCTTCATATAAATGGAATCATATAATATAGACTCTTTTATGTTGGCTTCTCTTGCTCAAGATTATGTCTGTGAGATGCATCCATGCACAGTATAACTTATCCTTTTTATTGCTGCATAGTATTCCACTGTGTAAATGTACCATAATAATTCTGCTGTTGATACAGGTTGTTTCTAGTTTTGAGTTATTATGAATAACGCTGCTATGGAATATTTATGTTCATGTCTTTCGGATATACATGTACATATTTCTATTGAGTATTTTCCTAGGAGTAGGGTTGCTGGCCATGGACTAGGCATAAGTTTAGCTTCAGTAGAAACTTCAAAACAGTTTTCCAAGGCAGTTCCACCAATTATGTCCCTACCAGCAGTTTATAAAGGTTCTGGTCACTCTTTATTCTCTTTGACTTCAATTATGTCAGTCTCTAATTTTAGCCTTTCTGGATGGGTCATAGTATGTCACTAGTTTTAATTTACATTTCCCTGATGATTAAAACAGTTGAGCCCCTTCTCATATACTTTATGGCCATTTGAGCATCCTCTTTTGCAAAGTCAGGCTAGGAACTTTTCTCATTTAATTTTTCCTATTTCAAAACAACTGCATTTACCATTTAGAGAAGATACTGGGGCCCAGAAAGATTAAATAATTTTTCCCTAATAAGAGGTAGAACCAGGGTTTGAATCCAGGTCTCCCTGAATCCTATAGTAATATATTGCCTTTTGTTATCTACCTTACACAGCATTGAGTAACAGTGGCACAAAAAAGGCAGGTCATAAGAAATGTCCCTTAGGACAAGAGTCTCCAACCCTCAGGCCATGGACCAGTACCAGTCTGTGGCCTGTTAGGAACCTGGCTGCACAGGAGGAGGTGAGCAGCAGGTGAGCAAGCATTACCACTTCAGCTCCGCCTCCTGTCAGATCAGTGGCAGCATTAGATTCTTACAGAAGCATAAACCCTATTGTGAACTGCACATGTGAGGGATCTAGTTTGCACGCTCCTTATGAAAATCTAATGCCTGATGATCCAAGGTGGAACAGTTTCATCCTGTAACCATCCTTCTCCCTACCCCAGTTCATGGAAAAACTGTCTTCCACAAAACTGTTCCCTGGTGCCAGAAAGATTGGGAACTGCTGCCATAGGAGACCAAAAGGACCAGTCACGGCATGATAATTCATCCTGACAAACACTAAGAGAGGAAAGGGCTTATTGTCCTGCAAGGCATGGGAGGCATTCTTGGGGGACAGGAAGGGACTGTAAAAGTACCGCACTCCTTGGCCACCAACATTAGTTGAACAAATGTTCAAAGTCCTGGAGGGCCCAAACACCCTCATAGCTGAGTCCTGCACTGTCTAACACTGGAGAAAAAACTTGTCTCTACTGAGCTGGTTGGGGTGTGAACAATATCATCCTTCTTCAGGGCAACGCATCTCCAAAGACATAAGAGAATAATCACTGTTTTTGACCCTGTAGCACCACTTATAGGAATTTACCTCAAATATATCATAAGGCAAGTACAAAAATATTTAACTACAATGGGTCCAAAAAATAGTTAGAAGGAATAAATGAGATCTAATATTTGATAGCACAACAGGGTGACTATAGTCCATAATAATTTAATTGTACATTTAAAAATAGTGAAAAGAGTATAATTTGATTGTTTATAACACAGGGATAAATGCTTGAGGTGATTAAAAAAGACATTTATTTTAACCCATTTAAAAAACTCATGATGCGATTATTACACACTGTATACCTGTATCAAATTATCCTATATACCTCATGAATATTAATATATACACCTACTATGTACCCTCAAAAAATTAGAAATATATTTAACTACAAAGATGTTTGTCACAATATTGTTTATAACTATGAAAAAAGCAGAAATAACAAATACTGTACAATGGAGGAACTGCTTAAGAAAATTATGAAATAACCACAAAATGTAATAGTGTACATTAGAGAAAGTGTTGTACTTAGTCATCAGGGAAATTTGGAACCACAACGCAACACCAGTGCACACCTACCAGAATGGCCAAAATGAAAAAGTGTTGATGAGGCTGTGAAGCAACTGGAACTCCCATGCATGGCTGATAGGAGTGCACACTGGCACAGCCACTATGGAAAACTGGCAGTTTCTATTAAAGCTGGACGTACCCATATCTTATGGCTCAATCATTACACTTCTAGGTATATATGCAACAGAAATAAGTGCACCTGTGCACCTAGAAACAGCTACTAGAATGTTCCTAGCAGCACTATTTGTAATAGCCCCAAACTAGAAACCACCCAAATACATCAACAGTAAACTGGATAAATAAAACTGCATTATATTCCTGCAATAAAATACTAAATAGCAACAAGAATGATCTACAACTACACACAACTTAGATGAATACACATGTAAAATGTTAAATGAAAGAATATAGATACAAAAGAGCCACACAATAAAATTTCATTTATATAAAGTACAAAAACAGACAAAATTAACTTGTCCTGTAAGATGTTAGGATATTGAATACCCCAGGGGAGCATTCAATAAGAAGGGGCCACAGTGGGGGTCTTCTGCAGTCTAGGAATGTTCCATTCCTTAAGCCCAGTATGTTCACTATTGTGAAAATTCATCAATCTGTGCATTTATATGTGCATTTTGCTAAATGAATGTTATGCCGCAATAAAAATATTTACTTAGAATAATGTTGCAGCCAATTGGGAAAGCAGTTTGCATGTCTTGTAAAATTGTTTTGGAAAACATCACATATCCCATGATCCAGTAATAATTCTCTTTGGTTTCTGTCCTAAGGAAACACTCATATGTACACAAGGAAGAATAAAGTTGCTCATTGCAACTTTGTTTGTAATAGAAAAAAGCTGAAAACAATTTAAATGTCCACCCAAAGGGAATTGGCTAAATAAACTGGTAAACATTTACACAAAAATTTAAAACATGCCAAACAATGCTGTACATTGTTTATAGATACATAATTATGAAGTATAAGACATACTTGAGAATGATACCCAAAGAATTCAGGATGGTGTCTAGCTCTTGGGAGAGAAGGAAGAGGACAGGACAGGGTGGGAGATAGAATATACAAAAGGAGCTTCAACTTGCATCGGGGGTGCTTTATTTCTTAAAAAAGAGCTGACGCAAACACAGCAAAATAGCAAGATTTTTAACAGATCAAGTATCGGGTGGGTTCATGGATGTTTGTTTTAGTATATTCTACACTTTTCTATTCATTTGTAATATTTAAGGATAAGAACATTTAAAAAAATCTGTGATAAATCCATTCTGTGGAATATTCTGAGGCAGTTAAAAATTAGGTAGATTTAAATGTCTTTTCATGGCTGTAATACTGAGATATATTGTTAAGAAAAAAAGGCAAGTTCCATACATATATATATATATGGAAATAAGTGCACCTGTGCACCTAGAAACAGCTACTAGAATGTTCCTAGCAGCACTATTTGTAATAGCCCCAAACTAGAAACCACCCAAATACATCAACAGTAAACTGGATAAATAAAACTGGATAAATAAAAGTGGATATATATATATATCCATTACTTCTAATGGCAAAAACTGCAATTACTTTCACACCAGCCTAATAATTCAACACTGTAGAAGAATGTGAAATGGCATCAGTGTATTCTTAAGTGATACAGATGTACTAATGAGATGATCTATTGTAATAAACATTTTTATAAGCACTCAATTTTATTAGGAAAAAACTTTTACATACACACCCACACACGCACCATCCCCCAACACACACCCCCTGAACGAACAGATACCAAGATGTTAACAGTAAACAGTTTCAACTTATCTGTATTTTCCAAAAGTTCTACCAAATATATATATCATTTTTTGGTAAAAGTAAACAAGAAGGAAAAAAATAAACTATGTAGAGATCTTTTTAGAGTGAAGCCCTGGGGGCCTCACCCCAAGTCTCAGTTCCACCCACCCCGAGTCTCCCCTTTGCCTCCCTCTCTGCCCTCTGCCTGCCAGGTACCTGAGGGTCTTCCTTTGCATGTCCTCATCGGTGATGCCGTGATACACGAGGGTCTCATTCCAGATGGGGTTCCGGGTATTCCGCAGAGTTTTTGTACGAAGCTTGTTGGACTAGAGCCCGAGAGAGATGGACAGAGACACCTACCTCAGTGGGGAGCCAGTCCTGGAACCCCATCGTTTGGGCTGACGTGGGGTGGGTGGGTGGCTTTCCCCATAGGAGTGTCCAGGGGCTTAGTTATTCCCAAATGCATGTTCTCAGGGAGTGGGGGATGTCCTCTAGGATCATGGCCACAGAAAAATGGATCAATGCTTGACACTGGGTCCCCTCTCCCTCCATGCACTAAGCCTCCTCCTTGAACTTTCCCTTAAGAAAGCAGAGACATCTTCCTTTGAGAAGAAATCATTTATAGGTCAGGGAGACAGAAATGAGAGTCACCCATTCCCATTTAGGCAGGGGATATTGGGATGGTTCTCTCTGTTCCCCCCAGATAGTACCCTTCATGCCTAAAATTCCTTAGAGGGGCCAACATTTTTCATTTTACTCTAAGAGAAAGCTAGAAATGCAACTATGCCCAGAAGAGGTGGCCTGGTGACAAATCTCATTCATGCTAACATGCAAATGATTCACATTAGATTCTTCAGCAAAGCAGCTTTGGCTATTAGGAGTGGGTAAAGGAGGGCATCTAGAGGAGAAGCAAACATCACTGGGGAGTGAGGAGGAGCAGGGGCCAAACACTTCATAATTTGGCCATGGCCAGGTGAGGAACTGTCTTTCCTTGATCCAAAGAAAAGAGTGAGACAAAGTATACGCGTGTGTGTTGAGGGTGGAGGGCGGTGTGTACAGGTGCGTACATGTGTCCTCTTTTGTCTCATGGCGCATTTGGTACTTGCAGGGGTATTTAACAGGCATTTTCTGAAGATCATTTGACAGATGTACTGCCACCTTTGCCTTTAGGACATCTATGTCAAATTAATACAAAGCACAAAACAAAAACCAGGCAGGCACACTTCCATTTCCAGCCATATACTCTGGGTAGGCCAATCCCCAGAGAGGAGAATTAACCCCAGAGTAAAGCAATGCTCAGCCGGTGAGCTTGAGGGGAGAGAAGGGTGGGAGGGCCAGGGCTTCAGAGAATATTCTCCAAAGTGCTTAGTCCTAAAATTTGGAGAGAGCCACTCATTTCTATTGAGAGATGAGGAGTGTGTGGTTGGGGCATAAAATGTGTAGGGGAGGTGAGCCAGAGTCAGCAGTGGGAGAGCCGCTGAAGGTGTTCGAGCAGATGAAGGGCATCATCAGGGCATCTGCTTCTCTTCTGGCATTGGCAGCTGCCCAGATCCCAGGTTTCTGAGTTGGAGAAATGGGCAGAGCCCCTACCCAAGGGAGAATGACCCCTGGAACATACTTTACTTGCTCTGCAATGGCTTTGCTACTCACAGGATGAGGTGGGGTTGGGGATTTGGGGCAGATAAGGCTATTTTGGGCTCTGAGCTGAGAACCCTGGGTATCTGCCAGGGCCCATGCACCCGGTTTGCAGAGAAGCCCAGGCCATATGGTACCTTGCTGGCTCCCGGCAGGAGGTGCAGCTTAACGTAGGGATCAGCCAAGCCGTTTGAATCCATGGGCTTCAGGCCCTGCAAGAGAAGGAGGCAATGGTGTGAGGGCCTCAGGAGGGCCCAGTGCTCAGCTGTCATCGGCAATGGGCATAGCCCCTGGCATCTGTCCTGCCTGTTGGTCCACGCTGTGTGCTTCCTCCTCCAAAGAGAGAGAAGGGAAATGCAGTATCATGGAAAGAGTACTGGGATGGGAGACAGGGTTTTAAACCTGGCCATGTCACTTCCTGGCTATGTGACCTTAGGCAAGTTTCTTAACCTATCTGAGCCTCAGTTTCCCCACCTGTCAAATGGGGATAAGAACAGTACCCGCTTCATGAGGTGGTGAGATTTAAATGCAATTCCACCTATAAAGTGCTGGCATATGGTACACACTGGATCAAGGCTGGATTGTTATTGCTAGGATGGGAGGACATGTCCCAGAAGAATAAAGGCAAGGTCGGGGGAAGGAGGATGCTCCTGCATTCTGGCCCTGACCCCTGCATTCTCTTCTAAGACTTCAGTGTCTCCATCCATCAGGGCTGGGATGAGGCTCAGATAAGATACTATAGAGGAAGGAAGCTTAGGGTAGGTAGGAATTAAGTTGATTTGTTAAAATGAGCAATCCCCAAATTCCTGGGGCTTAGACATACTCTGTCCATCCCCTACATTCAGACCAGGCAGATGTCCCACCTCTGGGCTCCCGTCATCCCTCTGCACAGCACTTATACCATGCACAATTGGCCGTGAACAACACGGGTGTGAACTGTGTGGGTCCACTTATATGAGGATTTTCTTCCACCTCTGCCACCCCTGAGACAGCAAGACCAACCGCTCCTCTTCCTCATCCTCCTCAGCCTACTCAACATGAAGACCATGAGGATGAAGACCTTCATGATGATCCACTTCCACTTAATGAATAGTAAATATATATTATCTTCCTTATGATTTTCTCAATAAATGTTGAATTTTCTTTCAGCTAGCTTACTTTATTGTAAGAATACAGTACATAATACCTAAAGTATACAAAAGATGTGTTCATTGATTGTTTATGTTGTCAGGAAGGCTTCCAGGCAACAGTAGGCTAATAGTAGTTAAGTTTTTAGGGAATCAAAAGTTATACCATAGATTTTCAGCTGCTCAGGGGGTTAACTTAACTCCCACATTGTTCAAGGGTCAAGTGTATTGTGTCCATTGATCTCCTTGGATCTTGTTTCCCCACTTGTTCAATGGGGCTGGCAGCAACTCCTGCTTCATGGGGCTCTTAGAGGATTAAATGAGATCTTGCCTGTAAAGATGGGCTCCATCCCTTACCAGCTGTGTGAGCTCAGACTTTAACTTTCTAAGCCTGTTTCCCCATCTGTACAATGGGGCTAATAAGAATCCCTACCTCAGAAGTTTCTATAAAAAGGAAACAAAATAATGTATATGCACTTACTTCACTGTGTTATTGGCGGGGGTGGAGGGGCAGTGTTAAGTGCTTCTAAGTGCTTGCCACAGTGATAATAAATAGGTGTCCAATAAATCCTGATACATACTTGGTGCCCAATAAATGATGATATATTCTAGGTGCCCAATAAATGCTGATACATAATAGATGTCCAATAAATGCTGATACATAATAGATGTCCAATAAATGCTGATACATAATTGGTGCTCAATAAAAAAGTGACTTGGGCAAAGGAATGTGTTGGTCTAAGAGTTGTGTTAAGCATTTCATACCTCATTTATCATTCAAATTGAGACATTTTAAGAGTGAAAAAGGAAGCAATTAATTATTATAGCGAGGCAACAGGCATAGAAGGGGACTGTCCTGGGAACACTGGAACATGTGCGCACAACTATCCTTATGGGAGATACACTACTATTATCCCCAATTTACAAATAGGCACACTGAGACACAGAGGGTTTAAGTCACTTCTCCCAAGTCACACAGCTAGGAATGGTCAGGGCTGGTATCTGAACCCAAGAAACCTGGTTCCTGAGCCCCTGCTTGTTTTTCTGTGTGGACCAGGCTTGGGGCTTTGCAGGGTAGGGGTTCAATCCTAGTCAATTACTTTCTGGGGTTTGCACTGGCTTCACCCAGCTTTTTCCCCTGGGGTCTGGAATCAAGTCAGCTCACTCCCCCAGGGCCTGCAGCGAGGCTGTCCCGCCCCCTTGGAAGCCCATATTAGTGTCCCTGTGTCTCGGCTGCTGCTTCAGAGTGACAGCCGCTTCAGCAGAAGGGGCCTCAGGCAGACACAGGGATGGGACCATTCCATGGCCATGTCAGCTGTCGAGCCAGGCTGTCATCTCCTCCTGGGCAGAACCTCCACCATCCCCTCCAGAGACACTGCTGGCCCAGGCAGATAGGGGCCAACTCTGCTCTTGAAGCCCAGCTGCATGTACTCCCAGGAGGTGGTTGCAGATAAGTGAAACCCCTCTGGGACGATCCCTGGAGGAGGAAGGCCTCCCAGAAAGGAATTTGCCTAATTACTGTGACTCTTCTCATCACCGTCACTATCATCGATAGACAAGCAACAACAGGAGACAGGCCTGGTCATCCATCCCCATCTGAGTCTCCTAGCCATGCCAGAGCATCCTGAGAGGTTCCCTGCATGGTCCCCATCACCCACCTTGGCCTTAATGATGGTGCACTGCAGGGAGCTGTTGTCCTGGTCGTAGAGAAGGCTGAATTCCAGGGCACCCAGGGTGGCTGAAGGGGGCAGAGACAGGAACCAAGATAACGAATATTCAGTCACTCAGCAAACATTTCCTGAACACTTACTATATGCCCAGGCTGGGCTGTGAATTGAGACCACAGAAGAGAAGAAAACTCGGTTTTTGCTGTGAGTTCCTCATCTTGGTAGACCCTGCACTACCTTAGAGCACTCAGGACATCTGTGATCAGTTCATCATCTGTGCACTTGCCTAGGTAATGCCTTTCTGTCCTGATAGATTGAGAACCCCATGAGGGCAATAGCTGGGATTATCTTGTTGACTGCTGTGTCCCCAGTCACAACACATGGCACATAATCATAGGTGCTCACTTAGTTGCTGAAGGAATAAATGAGTCTCAGCATTTGCTGTTCCCTCTGCCTGGAATGCTCTCCCTCTAGATCCTTACATGGTTGGCACCTTCTCGTTATCCATATCTCAGCTTAAATGTCACCTCCTCAGAGAAGCCCTCCTTGATCACTCTCTAAAGTAGCTACCATCATAGTCACTCAATGTATTTTATTTCTTTTATGGTGCTCTGTCTCCACTCGAAATGAATTCGTTGGTATGTTAACTGCCTCTCTTCACTGGAGTGTTAGCTCCAGGAGAATAGCTGGCATGTCTATCTTTTTTTTTCCATGATATCCCCAGCATCTAGAACAGTTTGAGGCACTTTGTACATGCTCAATAAACCATTGTCAAATATAGAGATGAGTGAGTGTGTGAAGAGTATAGAGTATGGAGACAGGTTTGTAATAAACAGCCGGGATAAGTTAATAACAGGGACAGACATGAGGCTGGGAGGACTCATCTATGCTTGGTGGGTTGGGGACATTTAAGGCCGATGGAAGGAGCAGTAGCCAGTGTTCCAGGGAAGGACCAGGATGAGGGAAGGCAGAAGGGTGCATAGACAGGGCATTTTCAGAGCAGAACCAGCCTGTGGCTGACAAGATGGGTGGACTCCTCTCCTTTCTCCTGAGACCGCAGACCCATGATCCATGGGAGTGCACAGGGCACGAAGGGGGACAGCTGATCTTCCATGCAGTCCTGGCCTCTGATCTGCTACAGCTGTGTGATTGACCACCAGCCCCTCCTTGAACTGACTGGATGAGCTTGGACAAGTCCCTCAACCTCTTGGAGCCTCATCTCTCAATCTGTAAAATGAGAGTTATAAAAGCAACTATGCCCAGGTTCGTAGGGAAGATTAAATAGGCAAATGCACAGAATACACTCAGAATAGTGCCCAGCACAAAATGAGTGCCCAACACGTGTGGACTTTTATTACCTCTGATGTCCATACGCATAACAACAATTCCTCGTGGGTGTTTAGCACTATGTAATAATGATTTCCATTTTATGAAGCACCTTCCCAGAAGGTATCTCAGTTTATCTGCCCCTTAGCCTGTGGGGGAGGTGGTGCTGTGCTTTTCATTTTACAGTGAGGAGAGATGACATGGCAGGTCAAGGCCGTGTTGCTGGTCACAGCCCTTGATCTTTTCCTTCTGTGTGGATCCAGTTTTCCAACTTGATCAGAAACAACTGGTAATGTCCCCACCCACCAACACATATTGGATGCAGACACTTGCCAATTCTACCTCTCTCCAGCTCACAAAGTCTGCCCCAGGCACACCAGGGTTAGCGGGGGGAAATGCCACTGGTGTGTGTGTGTGTGTGTGTGTGTGTGTGTGTGTGTGTGTATACGTGTGTGTGTGTATACGTGTGTGCGTATCCCTGGGACTTGGGGCCTGGGTGGGATAGGTACATTGTAGGCATTCAATAAGGATGCAAGAGAAAATGCCCAGTAAATTTTAAATCATGATTAATAAATTACTTTTAGAAGATATACATTAAAGAGTTTTAAAAATTGTTAAAATTCACACCTAGGAGCGAAATTGCTGAGTCATATAATAATTCTATGTTTAACCTCTTGAGGAGCTAGTAGACTGAACATCAAGAATGTAGTCAATGCCACCGAATTGCAATCTTTAAAATGATTTACATGGTACCATTGATGTTATTTGTATTTTACCACAATAAAAAATATATGTAGCACTTACTCTTTAGGAAGCTGATATTTTGTGAATTTAGAAACACAAATCTGTACTTCTATCACTTGGTTAATATGTTTATTAGGTCTGGTATATTAGGGGTCTGGGGATAGACAGGGCTGTTCCTGAGCCGTTCCTGTTTTCCTGGGCTTGGCTCCTGAAGTGATTTTTCCAAGATACCTCTCCCTTAGGCACCACCTACTTGCTTCATCCGAATCGTAGCTGTTGGCTTCCTCTTCCTCCTCCTCTGGGGGTGGTGGCTGGCGGGCTGCAGCAGGCTGGGGGGCAGCTGCAGATGCTTGGGAATAGGGTCCGGAGGGGTGGCTCATTCGGTCCTCTCTGGCTCCAACTGCTGGGTAGCCCCCGACTCCCCCTGTTCTCTCCTCTCGGGGTGGGGCAGTGGTCCCAGGGTCGCTCGGAGCCACCTCTGCAGGGAGATAAGGACAGGAAACATGCAGCTGCATCCCTGTTTCATAACAGCAGCACCTAGGGACATTTTCAAAAGATGCGGATTCCTGGCTTCACCCGGAATCAGTGGATATGCAGTGGGACCTTGGGATCTGTGTTTGACAATAAGCCCCTCGAGCTGATTCAGATGTAAGCAAAACAGACCTTGTGGGGGTACAAATCAGTGGTGTGGACTCTGGAGCCCAGACAGCCTGGGTTTGAATCTTGGCCATGTGACCTGCGGCAAATTACTTAATGTCTCTGAGCCTCAGTTTCTTTATCTGTAAAATGGAAATTATAATATCTGAAGCTCCTCAAATAATAGTATTTTTTAATGAACAAATACAGGTGTAGCACTTAAAACAGTGCCTGATGCCTGAGAAAGCAAAAAGTGTCTTGTAGCTGTGACTGGTACATATGATGGTGATGCATATTGATCATATATATTAATAGCAACCACTGTCGCTCAGTGTGGGCTTATTATATTCCAGGCCACCCACCAAGGTTTTCTATGTGTTAGTTTGTTTAATCCTCCCAACAATTCTGTGAGGTAGGTCCTAGTATTATTCCCATTTTATAAATTAGGAAACTGAGGCTCAGGGAAGCTAAGTAACTTGTCCAAAGTCACACAGCCAGGAAGTGAAGGGGCAGGGATTTGAACCCAGGTAGTCTATGCTCTAAACTATATGTGTTGGCATTTCTATCTAGCTAATCTTAGTACGGACTATCTAAAGTTTTAGACTCGGGGGAGCTGTTTAGATCTCATCAGACAGGTCTCAGGGTGCAGGCTGAGTCACGTTCTGGCAGCTGCCTGCTCTCTCTCAGGGAGGTAGGGGAGAGGTGGCCACTTGGGCAGGCATGGGAGGAAGCAGATACTTGCCTGGCTTCTGATCTGGAAAGCGTCCTGCTGGCCCAGGACCCGGTCTGCTTCCTCCTGGGGTCCCTGAGCAGGGAGAGGAGACAAACAGAGATGCAGCAGAGAGGGTGGCATCATTTGGGGGTTCACCTTTTCCTTTTCATTTCACAGGTGTGGACACAGGCCCGAAGGCAGAAAGGTACCCGAGGCTGCAGAAACAGTCCCACTGGGAGAGGAGCTTTTGGATTTAGAAAGACTTGGATCCAAGCCCTAGTGCTGTGGGAACTTCCTGAGCCTTGACTTGCTCCTCTGTGAAATGGGGGTGTTGGTCCTTGAGGTGGGAAACACTGGCGAATGAGGTGCCATCACTTTCTGCACTGGGTGGGTAAGATGCTCCCTGCCTCCTCCTCCCACTCCCTGCCCAGCTTCTTGGCCCAGGGAATTACTGGTTGTAAGGGTCTTAGAAGAGGTTAAGATTTAGTTGTGGCTGCAGCTTTGCAGAAAGCCCAGCATGCTCTGCAAGCAGGGATGGGAGGTATGAGGGTCACAGCCGAGTGACAGCCTGGGCAGGTGCTAGCAGGTGAGTGGCAGGTACCTGGCTGCCCAGGCTGAGGTGGCGCTGGGCTCTGCACCGAGCCTGGGGCAGGTCTGGAGGCCTGGACTGAGTTGGCCCGTCTCAAACCTGCAGAGGAAAGAAAAGAAAACAGCCATTATGTGTCACACACACACACACAGCAGGAAGGAGCTTGGGACCACTCAGCTGGTGTGGGGTGAGCCCCTTGGACTTTCACTGGAGGCAGCTCCTCACTCGCTCAGCTCTTTCTGACTCTTCTGCCTTCAGTGTGTTCTTTCTTCTCAATACTCAGACTCTGGTGAGTCACAGCAGCAGCAGTTGTTAAAAAGCACAGGTTCTACAATCCTCCTTCCACCTGTGTGACGTTGCTCAAGTGACCTGTCCTCTCTGGGCCTCAGTTTCCTCACCTGGTATATGGAGATAATCACTTAGCTGATAGAGTTGTGGGGAAGATACAATGACACAAACAGGCAATGCTCAGAACAGTGCTTGGCATGTACTAAAGACTCGACACATGACAGGTGGTGAGATTATTTTATTATTATTGAAAGAATGTGTCTCTATCTTCATATGGACTTGGCTTTGCCTTCCTGCTGTTTCCCATATGGCCTGTGTGACCCTGGGCTGGATACTCATCCTCTCTGAACCTTAGATGCCCCATGGAGGCAACAGTTCCACTTAACTCATAATGATAATGAATTCATACTTATTTAGTGCTTACCATGTGCCCTGGACTTTACATATAAGAACTTCTTTAATTTCTACTAATAACCTTATGGGGTGGGGCCTTATGATCTCCATTTTATAGATGGGGAAACTGAGGCACAGAGAAGTTACTGAGCTCATCTAATGTCTCTTGGCTGGTTACTGCAGAGCCAGGGTTTGAACGCTGGCAGTTGGCCTCTGGAATCTGTGCCAGAGACCCTTACATGCTGTTGTTTCCCAGAGAGGGACTGAATGGAATGATGTGTGCAGCAGTTTCTGGTACCCAGAAGGTGTGATGTTCTGGGAAGAAAGCCCTGCTTTTTCTTACCTCACTGGGCTAGATGCCATCTTTCCTGAATCCAGCACTTTTGGCTGGATGGATGCTTGAATACACATAACAAAAGGTGCTTTACCACCTCTGCCTGGGGGCTTACAAATCACCAAGTCTTGTCCCAGGTTCCCACATTAGCACTGCCATTTGTTTGTTCACTTGAGGCCCTGTTCATTTGTCCATTCATTCATTTGTTCATTCAACAAGCATCCAGTGGGTGTCTACCAAGTGCCAATCCCTGTGCTAAGATGAACAAAACACCATCTTATATCCTCCAGGAGTGCACAGCCCAGTCACAGGAAGGAGACAGACACTGAAATGATGAGTTTATGATGCAACAATACCCAACAGTCATTGAGTTCTTCAAATGCACCAGGCCTTGAACATCGCCTCATGGAAGCTTCACAACTCAATGCCATGCATGGTATTGTGCTCCCCATTTTGCAGTTGAGGTAGTGGGGGTTAAATATGCCCAAGGTCACATAACCAGGAAGCCCCGAAGGTAGGACTTCTGTCCAAATCTATCTCAGATCTTGTTGAATGTGTAAATCACACCTGAAGCCCATCAACAATAGAATAAGCCGCTCCAAGAGGTAGGGAGACAGAGAGTATGTGGGTGATCAAAAGCCTTTCAGAGACCTCTGAAGGGATTTCCACACTGTGTGTGAGGGAGGACTCTGAGATTCCAGGATTAAGCCCTGGAACAAGGGAGTTTTACTGGGAATTTGTTTTACTGAGCTGCTCTCAGTCCCTCAAGTGGAACTTGTAACAGACCAGCTAGGAGCATTGGCTCTGCACGTGAACTGCCTGGGTTAAACACTAGCCCTGCTATTACTTTTATGTGACCTTGAGATTGTTTTAGCCTCTCTTTGCTGCATCTATTATGTGAAGATGACTACAATAGTACCTATCCAAAAAGAGCTGTGGATTGGATCAGTATGACCCATGCAAAGGGTTTAATCACATACCCGGCAGAGAGTAGATGCTCAATAAGTTTAAGTTGTTATTATGATTATTAATTCAAATCTGTAAGTATTTGAGAGCCTATAATCAACTAAGAATCTTAGTATAGGCTGGAAAATGATGAGCAAGAGATAAAATTATGGTAGATGCTCCAAATATTTGGAAACATAATAAATTAATGGAGAGAGACATGTCCCTGGTATTACAAGGGAGAGAGATTCAGGCTATAATGCTTTAGACAGTGATAAGTCCTGCATTAGGGCTGCGTCTCACCACCCTGGGAGCTCAGAGAAGGTAGCAGCTAACCCAACTCAAGGTGGAGCAGGTGGATGCTAGAAGCTAGACAAGACGAATATTTACATTGACTCCTGAGGGACAGGGGATTCAAATCCAGTTCAGAAATGTCCTATGACTGTCTTTGTCCTCAGAAGACAAAATAATATAGACGTTAAAAGCAGGATTTGATATGTGGAAATTAACTCAAAATGAATCAAAGACCCAAATATAAGGGCTAAAACTATAAAACTCTTAGAAGAAAACATAAAGGAACTTCTTCATGATCTTAGATTAGGCAATGATTTCTTAGATATGACACTAAAAACATAGGCAAGAAAAGAAAAAGAAAAGAAACTGGGCTTCATCAAAATAAAAGCCTTCTTTGCATCAAATGACACTATAAAAGAGTGAAAAAACAACCCATGAAATAAGAGAAAAATGTGTAAATTATATATCTGATAAGACATTAATATCCAGAATATATAAAGAACTTCTATGACTCAACAACAAAAGACAAACTATCCAGTTTAAAATGTGTTCAAAGGACTTGAATAGCTGTGTCTCCAGGGAAAATATCCAAATGGCCAAAAGCACAAGAAAAGATGCTCAGTATCACTAATCATAGGGAAATGCAAGTCAAAACCACAAGGAGATGCCACTTCACACCACTGGGATGACTTATTAAAAACAAAAACAAAACCCAGAGAATAACAAATATTGGTGAGGACATGGAGAAATGAGAACCCTTTTGCATTGTTGGTGGGAATCTAAAAATGTCTCAGCCACCATGGAAAACGGAATGGTGGTTCCTCAAAAAATTAAACACAGAATTACCATATGATCCAGCAACTTCACTTATAGGTATATACTCAAAAGAACAGAGTGCAACAGATATTTGTATGTCAGGCGCACAATGACATCATTTACAACAGCTAAAAGGTTGAAATAAACCAAACTCCCACTGATGGGTGAATGGATAAACAGAATGTAGTATATATAATATATATATACACACACACCACTATATATATGTATATATACATGTATATACATATACACCACTATATATAGTATATGCACTGTGTGTATATACACTATATGTATATAATATATAACGTATACTGTATATTGTATATTTTATATTATATATACTGTTTCTATATATTCTATTGTATATATATGTACACTATATTATGTGTGTGTATATATATATACACTATATAAATACACAATAGAATATTGTGTATTCTTAATTTATGCCCAGTGTTCCATTATTGGAATGCTAAGCTTGTAGGAGTTATTTATATCCTACTGCTCAAAGTCACCGTCAAGGTCTGGTTTTTCACACAAAAATATTGCAACCTCCAGCATAATGGGTTAAAAAGGAAAGAAATTCTGACACATGCTACAACACGGGTGAACCTTGAAGACATTATGCTAGGTGGAATAAGCCAGTCATGAAAGGACAAATTCTGTATTATTCTACTGATACGCAGTACCTAGAGTAGTCAAAACCACAGATACAGAATCAAAAAGAGTGGTTACCAGGGGCTGGGCAGAGAGGAGTGTGGAATTATTTAATGGATACAAAGTTTCAGTTTGTAATGACAAAAAAGTTCTGCAGATGGATAGTGGCATGGTTGTGTAACCGTGTGAATGTACTTTACACCACTGAATTGTACACATGAAAATGGTTAAAATGGTAGATTTTATGTTATATATATTTTACAACAATTAAAAAATAATTTTAAAAGGCATTGTCAAAAGAAACTTTACCTCTGGAAGAGAAAAGAAAAAGTACAGGCTTTGAGATTGGACACACAGGGAATTAATTCTCATTCTAACCAATTATCAGTTGTGTGACCTAAGGCAAGTAGCATCGCCTCTCTGAGGCTCAGTTTCTCCATTCTGTAAAATGCGAATAACAGAAGTCTCATACGTGGATTTTGGAGTTGTGGCAAACATTAAATGAGATAATGTATGTAAAAGAACTTGAGACGGCATTTGGCACATAGTAAACACTCTATAAATACTTCCTGATGTTGAGGATCTGGAAGTTCCTCTTTCTCTGTTCATCTGAACCATAGGTTCATTGTCGGGGGGAGGTCTGGGCAGATTATGAAGCACAAGGTACGTGCCCAGCTCTGTTGCCAATAAGAGGAAGTGAAGTGCTAAGCTACAAACACACAATTCAGGAAGAGAAGGCCAGATGTATGTGGGACATAAATATTCAGCCAATCTGACTTAGACCCAGACACAGCCCCTTCCTGCAAAAGAAATGAAGCCGCTTTGAGGTCTCAGACAAGGGGCCATGGAACAAAGATGTTCCAATATGGTAGACATTTCCTTCAAAGTCCTGTGCTCCATGACCCCTACCAATGGGCACTCTTACCAAATAAACCCACCAAGAGTGAGGCCAGAAATGTGAGGTACCCAATACGAGCACATGTCAGTGACATCCTGGCCATGCTGACCTATGCCATATGCCCAGACAGCAGAGGCCATTGCCAAGGGGAGACTTGGAGAGATCTTTGAGAGTGAAGCATCCTTACTTTGTTCGAAGCCTAGGGGCATTTTTCCCCCAGGGTTTTTTTTTTTTTTTTTTTGAGGCGGGGAGAAAAAAAATCATGCTTTCTGACATATGGTATTACAGCAAGAAAAGGATCTAACCAAAATTATGGATGTCTAGAGCCAGAATTGTTTCTGAATCCTGTCTTTCCTCTACCATAGACTAAAACCAGTATCTGGAATAGAACACGGCACACAGTAGGACTCAATAAATGCTGCCTAAGTAAATGAATAAAAACACAGTTCCCCTCATTCTTTTTGAGTCTCCCTATCCAGAGAACTGTCTCTGGATTTGCCCATCTTGCTCACCTGCTGGGCTCCGGCTGGAGTCTCCAGCACCCCCACTGTGGTCCCAGCTCTCTGAATCTCGGCTAGATGAGCTCATTCGTGCCTCGGAGGCCCTGCGCACGGGAGGCCCATAGTTTCCTCGCCCGGGAGCAGAGGCTGGGTCAGGGCCTGGAAAGAAGAGCATGAATTGAGTAGAGAAAGGGCATCGAGGGAATTAGGTGAATTCGTGTCTCAAATGACAAAACAGAGTCAGCAGAACCCACCTGTCTTCTGACCCGGGCCCCTCCTATCTTCACTGTCACCTGGAGAAAGAAAACACAAATTATGAGGAGTACTGGTTTTCTGGTGTCTGGAAAACCGGTACTTAAGAAGCCTACAAAGGGGTTCATTGACTATTGCCTAAGAATATGTTTTAAAAATTAAAAGTCTTTCTCCCAACCTCCTCTTTGATCTAGCTCCTGTTTACAATTTCACATTTTTTTTTGCATGCACAAACACATATGAGCATACACAGGCTTTATAAAGAACAATTATGCTATACAGCCTTCTCAGCCTAGAAGAACTAGGAAGAAGGAGTATTTTAGTGGTGAAAACTGGGGACTCCTCAGGGATGCAATATATGTTGGCAATTTGGTGATTCTCTGCAAGGAGTAGAAATTGCTCTTGCCTTGTCAGGAAGAAAACATTTGTTGAATGCCTCTTAGGTGGCAGGCATTGTGCTAAGTGCCTTGATAAGTTATCTTATGAAAAACGCTGTACCCTTCCTTTCAGAAGTACCGCCTGCACTCAATCTGGAATTGTCATTTAGTCCAGATTTTATCACTTAGCATCAATTGAAATTATTGCAAGGGCTTTATCTGGTCAGTCCTAGTGGTCTAGTCCAACTAAAATGTATTTTTACTATGGTTGCTTTTTAAAATTTTTACTGTTTTGCTTCTCCCTCTTAATCATTTTAATAATTAATCATAATACTTGGATAATAGTGATAATGTCAATAGTAGCAATTTAGTAGCAGTAATTTTCTTTTACTGATTTCCTTCTATTCATCTTTCACTTTTAATTAGTCCAAATCAGACTTGCTTATGGATAGTAGGAGAAATAACAGGGTCCAGGAAGGCCTTCTCAGCAAGCCGAGTATTCTCCCAGGCTCCAGTGTGATCTTGGTGGTGAAAGTCTCTCTCAGTTCCTAATTTTAATTTCCACCTCTTGTACACTAGATATGCCACCAGGGATGACAATGAAGCCTCTGGGCGGCTTGGCATTGCTGGAGAGTTCCCTGTGCTACCCTCTTGGTAACGATTTATGGTGAACTCTGAAGGAGATATAGGAGTCCTAGACCCAAGTGCAGAAGCTGACCATGCAACAACTGGGTGGAAACACAGACATGATGTCAGGCCATCCCTCAGGTAGACCAGTTGGCTAAGATCTGTCCTTGGTCCTGAAAGAAGCACCTGTTTTGTCCTACCTCGAGCTGGAGCCCGGGCAGGGTGCTTGGGCTCAGGAGCAGGCTGTTCAGGGGCAGCAGGCTCACTGACAGGCTGCTGGGGCTTGGTCTTCTTTATAGGCATAGGCTGTGGGAGGACCTGTTTGGGGAAGCCTTTGAAGAACCACGCTCCAGAACGCTTCCACACCTTGGGGAGGAGAGACAGGGATTGAAGATGTGGCAGCCAAGCGCTGTTGCTCTTACCTTCATGAGTGCCCATTTTTATCTTTCCTCCTCATCCAAAGCACACTGACACAATAGCCAGCACACTTTTATTATTACTACAGAGCCCTGCACAATTCATATTTATTCAGCCCATCCACCCTGAAAACTCAGTAGAAAGGGCTTCAGTTTACCCATGAAGAAAGTGGAGTTTGGATGGAGAAAGGGGAATATCCAAAATCTTAAGGACTGGTCCAATAGTACACAGCTAGAGAATGGAAAAACAAGGGCTCAACTCCAAGTCTTCCATCTCTTAAATGTGGCATGCTCTCCACTACACTGGTTGTTGTGAAGAGGGTGATCTACCTACAACTTCCCCAAGACCTCTGGCCTTTCTCCTGGCCCTGTGGGTCAGAACAGAGCAGCACACCTAGGACGGTGTGTGAAACATCTTCCATTGCCCCGTCAGATTCATTCTCCACCCTGCTCTGTGCCCCAGGAGGCTGACCAGTATGGGCTGCACTAACTGGACTCCACCAAATAAACCTTGACCTCTGTCTTCAGGTTTAGTTGGTCAAGGAGAGCACCAGGGATTACAACAAAGCCTCTTGAAAGCTTGGATTGCTGAAGAGTTCTCTGGGCAAATAAAGAGTTTGTAGCAAAGAGGAGGGTGGGACTACGGTATTTATTTCCTTGGCTCCCCCCAACCCACTGCTAGTTGGACAGTGACTGCATTCCTGTTAGGCTACACCTATCTTCCTTTCTGGTAACCATTCCCTCCTCTATCTCTTCAGCCTTAGAAGGGGAAACAGCAAACCTGTTTTTGCTGGTGCTAGGGTGACTCGCCAACCCTTGCTGATTCCTCTTAGTTCTGCCCGGACCTTTGTCAATAACACCTTCATCAAGCCCTTGATTATCCTACTGAAGTGTGCCAATGCTTTCCTGCCAGGCCCCTGACAGAAACTGAGGAGAACATGGTTATTGAAACACGGTTTCAAAGGCAGGACTCTGCAGCAGTGGATGGGGGATGAAAAAATTGGGAGAAGGAAAAAGGACTTAATTGGGGTAAGATGAGTAAGAAGCAGGACTGGGGAAGAGAAGGATGCCTGGGAGAAAGAAAGAGGACAAAGTAAAGAGAAATCGCCGAGAAAAGGGTGTGAAGATGTGAGAAATAACAAAATGAGGAAAGGGGAGAAAAAAGCAGTAAGGATTAGAGGAAGAAAAGGGCTCAAACAAGAGGAGAGTGTGAGGAAATAAAAAAATGGAAATAAGAAATGGAATAGAGAGAGAGAAAGGAAAGATGTTGGGAGAGGAAGACCCATAAGGTGAGAAATGGGGTCAAAGAAAGAACAGAGGCCAGAGGGCGATGAACAGAGAGGGAAGAAGAGAGGATGGGAAGGAAGAAAAAAAGTCACAGAAGCAGAGGAGGAGAAATAATTCATCCAAATACTCTGAGGTTGTTCTGTCAATGTTCACTGCTGAGCTGGGTCCTTTCATACAAACCTCTTAAGGCACCTCTTAAGCTGGCCAAGAAAGGAGGGTGATCTAGGCACCAGGTGGGACCAGGGCACTCACCTCCCTCTGCTCAATGCAGATTTTGCAGAGCCACACAGAATGCAGGCGGTTGTTGGTCTCCACTCCGCACTTGGTGCAGACGTTCTGTGGATGAAACACAGCCAACACACTCAGATGAGCCATGCTCATGGGAGGCATGGCAACGTAGCCCCCCACTTTCTCTTGGTGGATGTAAAGAGGAAGAACTTGCTTCCATTTCTCCCACTTCCTTCTATGAGCAAGGCCAGTTAGAATAAAACTCCAATTTGAGTCTTGTTTCCAATAAGAACTTGAGTCATTCCCAAGCACTGGATGAAGGAATTCTTTAAGAGTCCCTGTGGGATCTGAATTTTCATCATCCACACTGGGGAGATCACTGACATACTTTTTTCTAAAGAGGAATGACCATATATCCATTTTTTATCTTAATTTATTTCCTCTTTATTTCCAAAACGGACCTGAGACAACCTAGACTATGACTAGAAGTTTAACTCCCCAAGGAGAAGAAAGTTATCTGAGAAAATGCCATGGCTGTGTGATGAAATACTGTATTTTTTATTGAATTTCCTGGAAGTTAAGACAATTAGGAAAACTTAATGGGTCACAAAATTCTCGCTATCGAGTTGACTGGCAAGTTTTTCAGAATAAACTTTTCGCAAGATTTCATTCTACATGTCAAATGTGACATCAAGCTGGAGATGATGACATTGTAGATGTCTCCAGCTGGGTTGTTCAACTGAACTCTTGGAGTCCGGCAGACCCCAGGACAGTTGTATCTTTGCTCCCAAACTGTCAAGTGCAGACAGTTTAAGGAAAGGTTAGAGGGTGAACAGAGTTCAGGATTACTCGCCTTTGAGAACAAATGCTTTGGAAGCCAAATAATTCTAACTTGGCTTTCTAAGTTTCTTGTATCAGAACCCAGGATACGAGAAAACTGAAAGCATTCCACATACACACAAGTATAAACATGTGCTTAGCATGCTCTTTAAACTGACACATAACTTGCTAAGGTACAACCAGGATATCTGCAGGCTCAATCATTGCTCATGTTCTGCCACAGGCTCCCTAGTTCACCCTGGATGGAGCTCAGCTCTAAGAGACAGAAGGCTCAGAGTGGCTTCCAGGGAGGAACCAGGATCAGGGTTACGTTGGAAGACAGTAGGGCATGGAAGCATCCCAGAAAAAAACCATATCCTGGCAAGTGATCTTCAGGATCCAAGCTCCACCCCCAAGACCCAGTGACCCCTACAGCTGGAGCCTAGGACTTTCCCCTCTGCAGGTGCTGCACAGGGAAGAAGGGAGAAGAGGATGATGATACCTTCTTACAGTCCTCACATACTACACAGGCAGAGCCCAGCATCCCCAGCTGTTCTCCACACAGTATGCAGCGGTTCACCCCATCTCCAGCCACGTTCTTCCTCATGTTTTCTAGGCGGTCCACCAGGCGTCTGGAAGCAGAGACAAGGTAAATAAGGACCTTGTAGGACTGGGGACCACCAGCATACCCCACAGTGTCAGGTTGATAGTCTTCACCTTCTTTGAGTCATACGCTGTTGTGCGTCTGATGACAGTTGTGAACTCTTCCCCAAGAAAAGGCACATGCACATAAAATTCTGACGCATTTTCAGAATACCAAAGACCTCCCTCCCACACCCCTCAAAGTCCCATCTATTCTACTGACTTTGGATTAAGAACCTTATCTAGTCCTTTCTATCTTCTGTCACCTCCTCCCAGAAACTGCCTTCTGAGCGTTAAATTTATTTAGGTCTATTTATCTGTCTCCATCATGCCTTTACTTGGATGTCTTCATAGGCATCTCAAACTTACCCTTTCAAACTCAACTTTTCATCTTGGCTACTCTCCATCTCCAGCTCTAGCAAACCTGCTTCCCAGTCTTGGGAAATGTCACCACCATCTACATACTTGCTCAAACCAGAAACCCCGTGGCAGGGGGGTCTTCCTTGACCCCCTCCTCTCCTGACATTCAATGACCCAACCGAATTCTTTGGCTCCACCCCAGCCCAACTGAATTAGAAATTCTGCCCTGAAATTGTCAAGTACAGACAGTTTAAGGAAAGGGTAGAGGGTGAACAGAACGCAGGAAGACTCCCCTTTGAAAATGAATGTCCTGGAAGCTAAATGATTCTAATTTGGCTGGATAGAGATCCAGCAATCTGTATTTTATAAGTCCTCCAAGGTATCCTGATGCATGCTCAAGAATGGTTTTGAGAATCATTGCTCTAGTTACACTGATCTTTCAGTTTCAGTTCTGTCTGCCTCAGCATCAGAGCACATTCAGTTCCTTGTGTAACAAACACACACACTTGTGATCTCTCTGTCTCTCTCTGTTGCATACACACACACTTTTATATTTTCCCTGCCTATAGTATCCATTTTTTTTTTTTTTTTTTTTGACAGAGTCTTGCTCTGTCACCCAGGCTGGAGTGCAGTGGCGCGATCTGGGCTCACTGCAACCTCTGCCTCCCGGGTTCAAGCAATTCTCCTGCCTCAGCCTCCTGAGTAGCTGGGACTACAGGCACACACTGCCATGCTGGGCTAATTTTTGTATTTTTAGTAGAGACTGGGTTTCACCATGTTGGCCAGGATTATCTTGATCTCCTGACCTTGTGATCCACCTGCCTTGGCCTCCCAAAATGCTGGGATCACAGGCGTGAGCCCCTGCGCCTGGCCTGAGTGTCCTCATTCTTTAGAATAGCACTCCCTCTTGAGAGCCTCCTCTGACTACCAATTTTATTCACTCTACTAGCAACCTGGTACTTCCTCATAGCACCTTTGGAATTAACTATAGGGATTATCTGCATTAAATAATTAGCTGATTGTGAAACAATCTCTGGTTTGTTGCTGGGCTATGAGTTCCCCGGGGCCAGGCACCTTGTCTGTTCTGTTCCCTGCTGTGTGCCCAGTGCTGGATCAGTGCCTAGGCTGTAGTGAGGATTTGTATATGCTAGTTAAATCAATGAATGAACGAGAGCAGCTCACTCCCCACACATATATCTAGCAAAAGTAAGCACATTGAGTGTCAAGTCATGCATAATAACAGCTTACACTTCAGTGATACTCACTATATGCTTAGCATGGCATGAAGTGCATTGCCACCCACTTCCAGGAGGGAGGCACTACTATTTATGCCATTTTACAGGTGAAGAAAGTGGCACAGGGAAGTTAAATGACTTACCCAAGGTCACACAGCTAGGAAGTGGCAGAGCCAAAACTAGAACCCATAACTGGGCATGGTGGCTCACGCCTGTAATCCCAACACTTTGGGAGGCCAAGTTGTTGGATTACCTGAGGCCAGGAGTTCAAGACCAGGCTGACCAACATGGTGAAACCCCGTCTCTACTAAAAATACAAAAAAATTAGCTGGGCCTGGTGGTGTGCATCTGTAGTCCAAGTTACTTGAGAGGCTGAGGCAGGAGAACCGCTTGGACCCAGGAGGCGGAGGTTGCAGTGAGTTGAGATTGTGCCACTGCACTCCAGCCTGGGTGACAGAACGAGACTCTGTCTCAAAAAAACAACAACAAAACCCCCTAGAACCCATGCTTCATACGCATGACCCTAGCACTTCTTAAGTTTAATATGCACGCAGATGACACGGGGATCTGTTAAAATGCAGATTCTGAAACACCAGGTCTGAGGTGGGGCCTGAGGTGCTACATTTCTAGAAAGCTCCCAGGTGGTGGCACATGATGCCACTGGTTTCAGACCACACACTGAATGACAACTGTGGTATCCTGTTTCCACTTCGGGTTTTTTTTTGGGGGGGTCACTTCCCACCAGCTTGAAGTCATCTCCTTGCCCATCCCTCAAATGAGGACTCCCTCCAGACACACAGCCAGTGAACCCAGATAGAGCTGGACCCCACCCACCCCTCCATGGACTGGGTCCCAGCTGTGTACATACATGGCAGGGGAGAGCCGATGGGAGGGACTTGGGCGTCACAGCGCCCAGAGGGCCCCTGGTAGCCCTGCCTGGCAGGCACTTAATGCTGACTCTCCCCACGGCCCTCGTTGCTCCTGCCACACCCTCAGAGTGCTCTGAGTTACAATGCCATAAATAGCAGCTTATCCCTTTGTGTTCCATTCGAGAGAGGTGCTGCCCTGCCCAGGGAAGAGCCAAAGGCAGCCTGCAGGCTCTGGAGCCTCCGCTGTGACCCAGATTGCACAGAACCGCTTGAGGAGGCACCATGCACAGAGCTGAAGGCAGCACGCTCTTCTCAATTCTTCCTCATTTTCCCCCCACCCACCCCATCTTCCCTAGAAGTTATTTCTATAGGATGATTGGAGGGGGCAGGAAGCAGGAACAAGCTCCCAGTCCATAGTCTCAGAACTCCTGTAATAGTAGCTGGTGTTTACTGAGCACTTACTATGTACCAGGCACAGCTTTTTATTTAAATTTTATTTTCTCATTTTATTTATGTAGTGTTACTATTATTTTTAGAGATAGGGCCTTGCTCTGCCATCCAGGCCAGAGTGCAATGGTGTGATCACAGCTTATTGCAGCACTAACCTCCTGACTTCAAGTAGTTCTCCTGCCTGAGCCTCCCAAGTAGCTGGGACTACAGGCATGCACAACCATGCCCGGCTAACTTTTTTTTTGGGGGGGGGACTGAGTCTCACTCTGTGGCCCAGACTGAAGTGCAATGGTACGATCTTACATGCCTGGCTAATTTAAAAACATTTCTTTTGGAAAGATGGGGTCTCACTATGTTGCTTAGGCTGGTCTCAAACTCATGGTCTCAAATGATCCTCTTGCCTTAGCTTCCCAAAGCATTGGGATTACAGATGTGAGCCCTCCACAGGGATATCCTTTTTTTTTTTTTTTTTTTTTTGAGACGGAGTCTTGCTCTGTCACCCAGGCTGGAGTGCAGTGGTGCGATCTCGGCTAACTGCAAACTCCGCCTCCCAGGTTCACGTCATTCTCCTGCCTCAGCCTCCCAAGTAGCTGGGACTACAGGCGCCCACCATCGCGCCTGGCTAATTTTTTGTATTTTTAGTAGAGACGGGGTTTCACTGTGCTACCCAGGATGGTCTCGATCTCCTGACCTCATGATCTGCCCAACTTGGCCTCCCAAAGTGCTGGGATTACAGGCGTGAGCCACTGCACCCAGCCGGGGATATTCTTAATGACTCCTCCCAGTTACACTAGAAGCTAAGGATTACTTTTGTTTCCATTTACTACATGAGAAAACTGAGACACAGAAAGATTAAGTGGTTTATGCCAGTTACACAGCTAAGAAGTGGTGAAAGCTGGGACTCAGACCCAGGCAGTCGGCTCCCAAGTCCCTGTTCTCAGCTGCTACACCATGCTGCTGTGCACACAGCCACGTGCCATGTACAGCCACGGGGATCGCCTTGAACAGGCCAACCTCCACCCTGCTCGATTTCCCTGCCTTTCCCTCACCAAGGGCCCTTGAATCATTAGCAAGCACCAAGCTGCACATATGCAGTTACCCTGGCTGGTTCTAGCCCATCTACCTCTCACTGCCCGAGGTTGGGACAAGATACCCAACCAATGCTCCATCACTGTGTTTCCCCAAAGAACCCTCAACATGCGGTTGACAAATCTTGATTTTAGCCTGGACTTTTGCCTCTCTGGACTTCAATTTGCTCATCTGGAAAATAGGAGGCATTGGGTTGCATTGGTGGTTGTCAAACTGTGCTTCATGGTACCCCGAGGGTTTCATAGAGCCAGTTCAGGGGCCAACCTCTGTGGCAGCATGGTGGGAGAGAATTTGAGGGGTTACCACACCTCATTCCATACAGAGCATGTCTGCATTGATCTCTTTTGTTTGTTTGGACTGTTGAATTAGATTTCCTTTGGAAAGTTGGTTCCAGGGTTTTAAAAAAACAGTTTGAAGTTGACTAGAGCTGTTAAACATCAGGATGCCTTTCAATGCCATAGAATTATAAAATTTTATGAGACAACGAAGTGGGCTCATGGAGGCGGGGGATGGCAGTTGCATGGGGACATTTTTCTTATACACAGTTGCTCCCAACTATTTTCACCTTCATCAACTGCCTTAGTCAGAAAATAGATTGTGTTCTTCTCACTCTACCATTGGGGGTCTCAGAACACAGAGAGAGTGGGCCGCTTGCCTGGGTCACTCAGCCACAGCTAGAATCTAGTTCTCTGCTTCAGTCAATCATCTTTGCTTTCCACGAATCCCCACAGCCTCCTGCCTCATGTTGAGCTTTGCCAAAGCAGCTCAGGAAGAGGGCGTGGGACAAATCCAATTCTAAACCGCAGTGTGCTTTAAGGAAACTTAAAAGGGTTTTCTGCCTCTTCCTGGAAAATGAAGGCTGTGGACTTGCCCGTCACTTGCAAACCCACACTGCAGCCTCCCCACCTATTGCCTGCTCCTTTCACCATTAACTCCTGGACGCCAAAAGGCCTCATGAACACACGTTATTCAGGGAGTGTCTCATTAGCTCCTATCAGCAGCAGCAAATGGCACAGAAATGCAACAGAATTAAGATCATTACTCAGATGTCTCAGCTCAGGGACCCTCATTATCCATGAATTTAACACAGACCAATAAAGAGGATGCGTGTGAGGTGGGGACACGCAGATCTTCCTTCTCCCTGAGAAGACTGAGAATGAGCAGGGAGCTTCCTGCAGCCTGCCTGCAGCTCAAATGCTGGAGCCACAACATGGAAGACCCCAACAGCTTAAGACTTTAAACTAGGAAATAAAACTTTGCAAAAAGCCAAGTCAAAATTGGGTCATGGTGGACCATGTGTCACAAGTGGGTTTCAGCATCTTCACCCCAGAAGAAAGATGTGTTTTTACCAGTCTTGGCAGGGAAGCCCTAGATGTGTATGGGAGACGCTCTCTACCCTCACTGCATGTCAATCAGCCAGTGTTAAGAAAAACGCCAGTGCCCGGCCCTGACTCTAAACCTTCTCAGCTATGGATCTAATTCTGCCTGGATATCAGAATTTAAGCATGAAGTCCTGTTGAGAGCCACTGTGTGGGGGGAATGTTCCCAAAATGTATGGTCTATTTAGATCAGCTGGGGAGAATGTTCAATATTCAGAGAATAATTCTATGGGGTTGGGGGAGGCCTAGGAACCTGCATTTTAAAGCGGCTCCCTGTTTGAATCTGCTGGTGAATTCCTGGCTACACTTTAAGAAACAGGAAAGGAGGTGGTGAGACACATCCCATGGAAACACACTCTTCTTGCTGTGTTAACTGGGGAAAAAGCAAAAACCCAGAGTGCAGGATTGTGAACAGGGTGTGAGTTTGGGTTTGAAACATGCTCACCTGAATATCTCCATTGTGTGCACTCAAATATGTATATATACATCAGGAAGGAAACACACCAAGATATTCACAGCGATAATCACCAGGCAGTGAGGGGTTATGGGTAATTTTTACTTCCCTCTTTAATGCACCCAACTAGCTGGACTCCTCTATACTTTCTTGACTTTCTTAAAATGAACATGTATTATTTTTACATCAGAGAAGAAAGTGCATTTTTGAAGATCATGTGGCCGATGGTTAAAAGCCACGGGTTTGAATCCTACCTCTTTTCCAGTCAATGACCTTGAAAAAACCTCTTCTAATAAGAGGGGTTAGATGAGCTGCAGCTCAAGTTTCCTCTCATGTGCAGCATTCCGGATTCTCAGATCCTGAGACAGAAACATTGAGATTTCTCCTCTTTTTTTTGAAATGGAAGGACCCTTGATGACTAAGAGTAGACCCTGTCTGCATTGGCTGCCTGGTGTTATTTGCCTGCCTGGTTTTGTTTACCTATCTAATGTCTCCATCCCTTTCTCTCACATTAAGTGCCCAATTAGCTGAACCCTGTAAGTGGCTGACACTCACTACTATGTCTTTACATGCCTGATTAACTTTATGATGACGACTCACACCTGACATCCTGGGAACATCCATCACCAGGCTGGGTGCTTAAGGTGAGTTGTTGGTTACTCAGTGAAGTCAGGTGGGCACATCCCAATTCCCAGGATACTCCCAGAGGCACCAGGAGTATGTCCCTTCCTCTGGGCACCAATGGATGGCCTCTGGAGGTGGTGAGAAGCAGGTTCCCAACGTGGTCTGGCCTTGCCATCCCAGTGGAGGCAGATGGGCTATTCACTCACTTGACAAACATGTATAGAGTACCTACTATGTGCCAAGTAGACAGTGAGGATCCAACGGTAGCAAAACAACAAGATCACTGCCCTCATGGAGCTGGCGTTCAAGTGAGAGATCGGACATTGTTTAAAAAATCATGCAAATTGCCATAATCATCATAAGTCCCCTGAAGGACAAGTATGAGCAGCTATGAGAACTCACAAGAGAGAGACAGGAACAGTCAGGACAGGTCCTCAGAGAAACCGGGGAATAGCATGTGCGAAGGAAGTGAGAGGTGCTCAGCATGGCTGGGAGGCTGAATGGTGGGAGATGAGGCTGGAGAGATGGCAGGGACCACTCCATGCAGGGTCTTGTATTGAAGACTGATGGGACTGCATGCAAGGGCTTTCAGTGGAGGAGACCCAACTTCACCCCCGCCCGCCTTTTTTTTTCTTTTTCTTTTCTTTTCTTTTTTTTTTTTTTTTTTTTTTTTTTTTGAGACAGGGTCTGACTCTGTCACCCAGGCCGGAGTGCAGTGGCTTGATCATAGCTCGCTGCAGCCTCAAACTCCTGGGCTCAAGCAAACTTCCCACCTCAGCCTTTCAAGTAGTTGTGACTCCAGGTGCGTGCCACTACGTCCAGCTATTATTTTTTATAGATATGAGGTCTCACTATATTGCTCAGGCTCGTCTTGAATTCCCGGGCTCAATCAAGCAATCCTCCCACCAAAGCCTCCCAAAGTGCTGGGATTACAGGTATGAGACACTACACCCAGTCCCATTTAGAGACAACACTTGGACAGATGAATGGAGCCCTTGGGAGGCTCAGTGCAGTGAGAGTTTCAGATGCTGCGGCTGTTCCAGGTAGAATGAAGCAGGCAGGTTTCTGGTCTTTCTGTACACATGGAGCTGAGCAAGTCTTTTGAAACTACAAGGTTGGTCCAAATGGGTCTAACTCAGTGGTGGTGAAAGAGCATATCAGGAGGGCCACAAAATGCCATTGCACGCCAGCAGGTTTCAAGGAATCACTCTCTATTAGCTTTCTGTGGCTGCTGGAACAAATTATCACAACTTCGGGGCTTAAACCATATACATGTATCTTAACAGCTCTAGAGGTCAAGGCTAAAGTGGAGGCATTGACAGGGCTTCAATCCTTCTGAAGGCTCTAGGAGAGAATCTGTTCCCGGGCCTTTTCCAGTTTCTAGAAGTCAGCTGCATTCTTTGGCTCATGGCCCCTTCCTCCCTTTTCAAAACCAGCAGTAGGGCATCTTTTAATCTCTCCGTGACTCTGACCTTCCTGTTCCCTCTCATAGGAAACCCTTGTTTCCTATGGGGTCCATCTGGATAATCCAGGATAATCTCCCCATCTCAAGATTCATAACTATCACAGCTGCAAAGACCCTTTTGCCACTGGAGGTAACATATGCACAAGCTCCAGGGATTGGGATGTGAACATTTTGGGGGAGGCCATTGTTTTGCCTGCCACGCCCACATTTTTGCCCCATCAGTCACCAGAGCCTGATTTGGGTCTGAATCCAACTTTAGCTCTCCTCTGCAGAACAATTCCTCCCTGACTGGCTGTGGATGTCAGGCAAGCCAAGCTTTTGACCCTGTGAGGTTCCGGTCACTTTCTTCAGGTGTTTACATGCAGCCCCAAGAAAGCGTAGACTCCCGATACACAGGCATGCCAACACAGACACAGACACACACACACACACCCCTGCAGATGTGCTCACTTTCAGGATTTAGTAGGAAGCAGTTATGACGCAGGGGTTGGGGTGCCAATTCTGGAGTGAGCTTGCCTGGCCCTATATCTGGACTTTGCCGCTTCCCAGCTCTGTGACCCCAGGAAATCTCCTTAACCTTTCCGAGCTTCAATTTCTTTATCTGTAAATTAGGGAAATAAAGCCCTTACCTCCTAGGATTGTTGCAAAGATAAAATGAGATAGTGTTTGTAAAATGCCCGGAACATGGTAACTATTCAGTAATGGTTGCTGCTAGTTATTTATTCTAAAAATCTGTAGCTTTTATATATCCCTGTACTCATATTTTTTCTGGGTAACCAGGATGCTATCATCTGCCTGCGAAGTCTGTCTTTCTAAAGCTTTTAAAGGGGCCACATTGATGAGAAATTTATAGGACTCAAGTGCCTATCTATCTCTAAACACACACACACACAGATGACACATGCATCCACACATATATATCCACAGGCACGCCTGTAGAGGCATGTGTACTTACGGCTATGAATACACACACACACACACACACACACACACATGCACATGTGTGATCAGAACCTACATGCAAGAATACACTTTTACATGCATGTCTGTACACACTGGGCTCTTACAGAGAGATCAGATCCAATCAGTTGCCTTCTTCGAGTAAGGTCATAAGCTCAGTGGAGGACCGACCTCTGCTTATTTCTGATGCTCAGCCTCCCACAAAAAGCCCAAACTGACCTCAGAAACATTCAAGTAACTACTTTTGACCTTTCCCGTACTGCTGCAACATCTTGATGCGTGTCGAGGAAAAGGTTAATGGATGTACAATTGTCCCAGAAAGTAGGCTTCATGTGGTGTGCAGCAGAGCCTGGGAGAGACACCCTGCACCCTGCTTGCCCCAGTGTGATGGGTTTATGTGCCAGTCTCTGAATCAGCAGAGGAAATGGCCAAAAGCTGGGGTTCCACCAACCGATGGGATGCAGCCAGAGCAGCTGCCTTTAGAAGCAGTGGCTGACCACGATTTCACCATTCAGAAAAACGCAGCAAAGTGGGAGAGTGGGTACAATGTCATGTTGCCCCTCTCTGTCTCTCTCTGATTTTTGCCTCTTTCTCTGTCTTTCTGTCTTTCTCTCTCTCTCTCTGTCTCTCACACACACACACCACACACCACACCATCAATTCCAGAATCCCTGCTCGCTCTTCACCTCACCCTAATTGCCAAGTAGGGGGATATTACTGTTGAGTTTATTAAAGTTGGCACTTTCTGAAGTCAAAATTGGGCCATCTGCTGGGAATGGGGAAATGGCTGCTCTGATGGGGGCTGGCCTGAGGCTCTAATGCCAGGGTCTCTCAGGAACCTGTCCTTAAATGACTGAGCTGCTCCATCAGGAAGACACACGCTGGCATGCAGGGCATGTGCATTTCAGACTCATTAATTCTCCCTGTTGTTTGTTACTGTCACCACCTGGGGAGCCCTAGATCTCAATCTGTCTCCTTGAGGGACTGGTGAATGGGATTCCTGCCTGGGCCTCAGCACTTTGGGGAAGGAGGTCACCTTGGTTCAGAGTCGGAGACGAGGGAGCCAAGAGAGAAAGACCACTGGAGGGCTCAGCTGGGCTAGTGCAGTCCATGCTGGGCAAGGTGCTGTGTCATGACAAACCCAGGAACAGCAATAGTTGTGATTGTTGTTTCTGAGTGCTCACTGTGCCAGGTGCTATGCTAAGTACTCTATATGCATTGTTTTCCTTAAGCCATCAACAATCTGGGAGAGAAGCTCTATTATTCACTCCCATTTTACAGATGGGGAAACCAAGGCACACAGATGGGAACTCACTTGCCCAAGTGTACAGGGCTCAAGGGTGGAAGAGCTGGATTTGGAAGTTAGGTCCAGCTGCCCAGAGGCTAGAAGAATGAAATCTTTGTTTCATGTCAGTGCTTATGGTTGGGGTTCTTTCTGACCCTTCTCCCTGCCCTTTCCTGTCATGGAAAATAGAGTTGGGAGAATGTGGTGCTGAGGCCTGAAGGGGACAAGGATCACTGTGGTAAAGAGGAATGAACTGTTCAACTGAATGAAGAAACATATGAAACGATCAATTAACTTCAATAAATGTTTGAGATACCCTGTCATTATTGACTTCTCTGAATCCCCGAAATCATCCATCAATTGCCTTTCCCACCTGTACTCTCCAAAAGCAATAGGATAAAGTGGAAAGACAGATTCAAGTTCAAAGTCTGGTTTGGCCACATAAAGGCTGTGTGCCTCTGGGCAAGTGGCTTAACTTCCCTGAGCTTCAGTTTACTCAGCTGTAAAGCAGAGATGCTTGTCTGTCTCTCAGTGAGGACATTATGAGGATTAAACGAAATATATGATATTTAAAAGTTCCTAGCACAGGGCTTGGAGATAAATATTTGTTTCTCTATGGAATAGCAGAATAGGAGCCTAATTCTGGAGCCAGCCAGCCCGGATTCATAATCCCAGTCCCCACCACTTATTAACTGTGTGACTCTGGGCAAGCTGCTAAACCTCTCTGTTCTTCAGTTTCCTCATCTGTGAAATGGGAATGATTGTAATATGTGCTATTGCATAGGATTCCTGTGAAGTTTACATAAATGAATCTACATAAAGCTCTGAGCACAGTGCTGGCACATGATGCCAATAAGAGTTGTCCGTTGTGATTATTTTGCTAGAAGTTGAGTTACTATTGCAAGAAAAATCGCAGTCCATTTCATCTCCCATTCCTTCTCCACCAACAAAAGGGCTAGAGCAGTGGTTCTCAACAGGAGGTGACTTTGCCCCTCGGGGACACTGAGCAGTGTCTGGAGACATTTTTAGTTGTTGCAACTGGGTAGGGAATTAAACCAGGCATCTTAGAGGGTAGAGACCAGAGATGCTGCTGAACAGTTGACAATGTACAAAACAGCCCCCACACAAAGAATTATCTGTCCCAAAACATAAATAGTGCTGAACTTGAGAAGCCCTGAGCTAGAGGGATTTGAAGACTATCCCATCCAACTTCCCATTTTACAGATGAGGTCAGGGAGGCCATGAGGGACGCCGTAAGGGTAAAGTGATTTGATAAGCATCTTAGTTGGGTTTATGGTTCACTTAGTATGCATTATTCATTCAACATGTATTTGTTCTTTCTTTTATGGCAGGCATCGAGCTAATTAAGGAATCCAGAAAACTTCTATTTTGATCTTTTTTTTTTTTCTAGACAGTCTTGCTCTGTCACCCAGGCTGGAGTGCAGTGTCACGATCTTGGCTCACTGTCACCTCTGCTTCCTGAGTTAAATGATTCATGTACCTCAGCCTCCTGAGTAGCTGGAATTACAGGCATGCACCACCACACTCAGCTAATTTTTGTATTTTTAGTAGAGATAGGATTTCACCATGTTGGCCAGGCTGGTCTCAAACTCCTTGCCTCAAGTGATCCACCCGCCTCGGCCTCCCAAAGTGCTGGGATTACAGGCATGAGCCACTATGCCCAACCATATTTTCACCTTATACAAACAGATTCTATAACATATTAGGGCTAGCTGGACATTGGAAAAAGCACTGGTCCAATCCCTGAGAAAACTGAGGTACTACTCAATAATCCCCAACACTGGAGGGTTCAGAGTCCCCCCAAACTTGATAAAATCTATGTTTCTTGAGAAAAAAATGCACATAGACACATGCATAAATATGTTGATAATATCAGAATGCCCCCAAGTCCCTGACTCCCATCCATAGAATGTTGAAGACTTTAGGTTTAAATGCGGGAGAAGAGTCCTCCTTTAGAAAGAGGAGAGTATGACCTGGCTTATGGTTGGCTTGTCAAGCCATAGGACAGATGTCTGCCTAATTAGATAATTAGACATAGCAAGTTCCAGGCATTATTACTCACTTCTCCCTCTGTCCATATTTTGGAAAAAATATATGCCAAAAACACAGGGGAAGGTGGAATCAAGATGGGAAGGTGATAGGGGTGTGACAGATCCTGTCAACAACAAGTCTCTCTGACTTCCTCCTCCATCACGGCGTCTGGATGCCAAGGTTAATGACAAATCCTAATTACTTTTTTGGGCCCATCTGTTTAGGGAAGCTGACCTCGAATGGAAGCCACCCAACTGCCAGTCCCTTCACAGGCAAGATATGTGAGCAAATGCCTTTGAGAGGCTCTGGACAGAGAGAAATATAATAAGGATAAAGAGGGCCTTACCAATGCCAGGGAGAGAGGTGGAAATGCAAACCAATTTTGGAGGCAAATGTCTAATTCCAAACTTAATACATTCTAAAAGTCCTGTGAGTAACCTAGGTGTGGCTTTGCAACTCACAAAGGGGCCCTTTTATGCTCAGGAGAAGTGCTCAGCAGCCACGTGTGTCTAGCCTGGCACCTCTGGCCACTGCTGATAGGATGAGGGGCAGGCATCTAGGGCAAGCTAGGTCAATCAGAGTTCCTTCCGTAGGAATTTGGAATTTAGACTAAGAAGAGCTATAAAAACTGGGAGACTCTAGCTAGCGTGGCTATATTTTCTAATATATGGGATGAGAAGTAGGCCTTTTATGAGGCTAGGCTGTGTTCTTGTCCTCAGATCCCTGGAGATATCTCTGAACCCTTATATCAAATTTCTCTTTCTACATAATGGGATAAAGATAGCCACCAATAATGCCTTCCTCCTCTGCATGCACATGCCATTTATCACATAAGGAGATAGGATCTATTTCCTGTCCTCAATAGAAAGTGATGGAAATGATACCCTGCCAGTTCCAGACCCAGCTGTTAAGAGACCAGGCAACACCTATCTTTGCTCCCTTGGGATCCAACTGCCATGTAAAGGAGCTCAGGCCAGACTAATGAATAAGGAAGGATGAAATGCAAAGAGAGGGGCTACCTGAAGAGCACCAAGGTACAGACGGGGGAGTAAAGCTTTCTTGCACCTTCCAGCCCAGCCCAACCACTGACTGAATGCAGCTGAGTGAGCAAACCTAGCCCACGTCCCCTGAAGCAGAAAACCTGCCCAGCAGAGCTCTGTCTGAATCCTTAACCCATAAAATCATGAAAATAATACACTGTTTTGCTCTAAGCCACGAAGTTTTGGGTGGTTTGTTATATTGCAATAGATGACCGAAACAACCTAGCTGGAATTAGTTTCCTTTCTTGTGAGCAAAGTGTCCTAACTAATATAGAAAATCTGTAGCAGTCGGGCATGCAAAATAAATTCTGAAATCCCACTTGGCACTTATATAAGAAATGTGGGGGCAAAATGAGGTTGGTTAATGAGTTTCTCTTCTGGCCATCCTCTCTCCCTCCTGGGAAGCTGAAGAGAACAGAGCTGGGTTGTGAACTGAGTGGTGAGTGAAGATTTAGATTCCTCCTGGCAGAAGCCCATGAGCTCCATGGAATGAAGCTGCTCTGGGTTGCTGCGCATGGCCTGGGGCTCCCTGGGACAGCTAACCCTTGCAAAACTGCCCCAGGGAGGCAATGCTTCCTGGTAAGCCTGAGGGCATTTCTCTCCTGGAACTCTCAGAACCACAGCAGCATGCAGACTAGCTCTGGCAGCTTTGGAAGGTAAAGACAGGTTAATAAGAGCTGAAAATAATAATTGGGCCAGCACAGAAAGGGTTTCAACTTCCAGCTCTCAAAATGTCCCCTCCAAACCTGAGTAATTAAAATTTCCATGTTCTACAGAGCCTAGGAATTTGCAACACATCTTCAGGAAAAACATCTCAGACATTTAAGAGCATAGTTCCGAGAGTCAGCCAATAGGGATGTGTACCTTGCCTGCATACGACCTTGGGCAAATGACCTAAACTCTCTAAGCTTCGGTTTCCTCACCTGCAAAATGGGGATAATAATAGCTTACTTGACAAGGTTGAGAGGAGCAGTTAATGAGTTAAGCACATACCTAGTAAGTGCTTAATAAATTGCATCCATCATGATGATTATTTATCATGTTTATCAACAGTGATTTCATAACTCTCCCAGATAGCTTTCACTCAGATAACAGAAAAGAACATTCAGCATCATGGGGCTGATGTCTGGACCCAGTAAGGGACACAGCTACATTGGCGATTTCAACATAGAAGGAGCTCATTTACTCTGAGAGGTACAGCCAGCAATAGGGTGTGAGGCCCCTCACCAGACACCCCCAAAATACTGTAGATTCTGAGCAGGAAGAATCTTGAGAAAGAGACTGAGTCATTTGATGGGTGGGGAACTGAGGTCCCAAGAGCTCACTAACTGAGATCCTCATGTTCTGCAGTGGGAGCCCCAGTTAGCACCCCCATTTTCAGTTTGGCTCCATGTCTGATGTTTCACTTGGCTTTCATCTGACTCTTCTCTGATCCCCTCCCAGGGAAGTGTGGGTGGAACAGGAATCAGGGCAGGTTTGAGTTTATAAGACACAAATAGCATTGGGTTTGCCTCTGGCGATGCTACCAGCAAGGGCTGGCTGCAGGAAGGGCGCTGTGGAACAACCACAGCCAGAATCTTCCGGGACTGTCCTCCCCACTCTGGGAAGCCAGGCAGAAAACACATTGTCTCAGCAAAGGGACATTCTGTCACCAAAGACTTGGCCCAAGCTCCCCTGGAAGCCTCTCAAATCTCCTTCAGGGGAAGCCAGGGGCTGCTAGAATTTCAGGACTTGCCAAACAGGAGTCTCAGGGCAGACTTCTAGAACAAAGGCTTCAGCTAGTGTCAAAAATCAGCTTTCTCATTAAAAAAAAAACACCTCACCATTAAATAATTGCCATTATTTATTAAGCATGTACTTTGTACAACTCACCACGATAATCCTTTGCATGCTAATTAAATACTCACTCAGATGTATGTGATAATGTTATCCCCATTTTGCAGATGAGGAAACTGAGGCACAGGGAGGTAAAGTGGCTTATCTAAGGGCATGCAGTGGGTAAGTGGCAGAACTGGAATTTGGACCCAGATCTCCCTGACTGTGCAACCCCAGCTCTTAACCACAATGCTCTGCCACCATGTCACCAGGTTGGTAGGGAGAATACAGCAGGGCATTGAAGGTAAAACAGGGACCTCATTTACCCTGTTCTAGATCATTTAAGCTGGGATCTGCTCAGTCCACAAGGACCTCCCCTGACCCCCAGAGGCAGCCCAGTGGCCATGTTGATACAACTGGGCTTGGCACGCCTGGCTGCAGTTGACTGGACAAGGAATAGTATCTGACATAAGCCAGTCAGAGTACTTTCCCTGGGAATTTGGACCCTGGATAAGACTATAAACTCCCAAGCCTCTTGGCCACAGGCAATGTAGAAAGAAGTTGGGAGATAGCCTCATCTTCCATGTTCATTCATTCACTCAACAAATATTTTGCTGTGCACCTATTATGTACCAGGCTTTGGGAATATGGCAGTGAACAAAACCGGCAAAAATACCTACCCTTAGGAATCTTAATCTAATGGGGAGAGACGTACAATACTTAAAGAAAATATGTAAAATATAAAATGTGATAGCTGGTGGTAAGTGCCATGCAAGAAAAAGGTTGAACAGAGTTCTTGCTTTCACCGTTTACCTTTAACATACATATCTTTCCTTCCCTCATGACTGAGGCCCATCGTTGTATAAAGATACACACACATACACACACATGCACACACACACACACACACACACACACTGCCAGTCTGGAGAACTTCCCACTCCTGAAATATCTTTTAAAAAGCAAAGCAAAATAAAAACCTAACTCCATAAGCAAGCCTCTCAGACCTATCCCCTCCGTGACCACCCGAGGAGGCTGACAGAGGGCCAAGTGTGAAGCTGACACATCCTGTGGCAGATGTTTGTCACTTGTCAACAACACCCCCTATTTCCCTAGCCTGCCCTGAGTGCAATTATCTGCAGAGGCTCAAATCAAAGGCATCCACTTCCTGCATCCCCAGAGCATCATTTTCCATCCAAGAACCTCGTTAACCCCCAGCTGAGTGTCTGGGTAGGGAATCAGTGGGCATCTCAGTGCCCAAATCCGCTGTAAGCAGTTGGCAATGGCTTCCCCTGGCAGAAGGGCTTGGGTAGGGGCATAGGGTGGAGGTGGTATCCCAGCAACCTGCCTTCCCATTTCCTGTTTGATATTCGGGTCTAGGAAGACCACTCCAGTGGCCTCTCTGTATCCCGGCAGCCAGTCTCCATTTATACCAAGAGTCCTCCAAACACATACCCTCACTCCCTTCTCTCAGTCACTCCTCCCACCCTGATGATGCCCCACATTTTCCCCAGTCCCCCAGCTCCAGCCCACACCCATGCCACTCCTTGCTCTCCAGTACTGTCCCTGCTCATTGATTTTGTCACTCTCTTCCACTCTTCACACATCCTTCTTATAAGCCTTGCTTCTCTCCCAAACATGTTTTCATTATCCCCACCCTCTGAGCCCCACTTTCCCCTCCTTCCTACCATTTATTAAACACATAGTGTCACCAGAGCCTGGGTCAGGAACTGTGCATGTGTCATCCCAACACTTACAAGAGTCTTATAGGATAATTACTGTTATTTCCCCCATTCTGCCAGTAAGCAAACTGGGGCTCAGAGAGGTCAAGCAACATGCCCAAGATCCACAGCAGGCAAGTGGGGAGCTGGCATGGGACCCCGGGTTCTTGGAGTCTGGACCCATCAGGTTAACCTCTGCTTCCTCACTCACATGCTGCCTGACTGTTATAGGACTGGTTTCTCCGATTGTCTTAAGTAACTAATTTCAAACATGCTCTCTCTTTTACACACTCTTTTTTACCTACTCTCTGTCCTCCTAACCTTGCCCTCAGCTGTACCTTCTGACACCTACATGGCTCTCATCTCCAGAACACATCCCTATGCAGCTGTGATTAGCTGAGACACCTGATGCTCACACCCACCCCGCTTCTTGCAGCCTCCAATGACATCTCCTCTTTCCCTATCACAAGACCCCTCCCCCTGCCCCTTCTTCAATGCACCCCCAGCCAAGAACCTCCTCACTCGCAGCCCAATCTCTCCTCTAGTCCCTTTTCTCTTCTCCTAGCTCTCCCAACTCATGCAACAAAGATCCCACGTCTGCCAGTGGGGAAGGGGGTGGGGCGGGGAGGTGGCCCCGTAAGTCACAAATGGCAAAGCCCAGAGGCAGCCCAGCACACCCCGTTTGAGGCCAAAGCCCTGCTCCAGCCCAGCACACCCTCCTGCCACAGCAGCTCTGGGGTGAATGGGAAGCGTTAAGCCTCACCCGATTCGCTCCTGCTCCATCTCTTCCATTTTCTCAGCTCGAGCAATCACCCTGTTGATGATTTCTTTCTCCTCATCAGTCAGCTCTTCCTGCTTCCTCTGCCTGTCAGGCTGACCACCGGGGTGGACGGACCAGCCTGCCTGGAGCCTGAAAGGAAATTTGGGAAGGTGTGAGGGTGGGCAGAAAATAGTAGTTCAAATTCCTGCCGGGAAACTCACTGTCTGGGAAACTGTGGACAAAAGGATCATCTCTCTCAGAGCTTCAATCTGCTCCTCTCTGCAATGGGACACACATACTTCCCTCTTAGGCTTCTAATGAGTTTATTTTGCTATGTGCTTAGTACACAGTAGACACTCCATGACATTTTCAGCAAGCTCATGGAAACCTGGAGGGTAAAGATATTTCAAAAAAGATTCCAGAACAGTAGACTTCTACAACTGGAGTGGAAATGATTCAGGACAGGAAGTCTGAAGTCCTGGGTCCCAGGTTGACCACAGCATCTGCCTGGCAGAGAGATGGCTTTTGGGGGCCACATAGCTTTTTAAAATAAGTTTAAACTGGTTGCCAACTAGGTCTCCAAAAATCTCTTGAATTCACATAAATGTCTAGAATTCCAGCCTCGAAGTCTCTGGTAACATTTTGGGTTCTATCTTGTGTTCTTTTTGCCTTTTCTTTTTAAGCGAACACTGACATAACATCTATTGGTGCCCACATTACCTAATTATCTCTCACACATGCCCACTGTGTGCCCGCCTCAGCTTATTATCTCTCATGTAAGTCCCCTGTGTGCCTGCATTACCTCATTCAATCCTCACATCACCCCTACAAGGCAGGGGCTGTTTGTGTCCCTATTTCCTGGTGAGGAGGCTGAGGCATGGAGAAATTAGAGCACTTGCTCAAGGATGCATGGCTGGCAAGTGGCAGGGGCAGGATTCAGACCCAGGGAGCCTGCACAGTTACCCTCCATGAGACGGAAAGAATGGGATCTGTGGCCCCGGCAATGGTTCAGAGAATCAGAGGCTGCTGGGAACAGAGTTAAGGCTGTGGTCTATGACAAATTAGTATCCTCTCCACTAACACCATGGTCCATGACCCAAGGCTCTGAGATGCATCACTGGAGTGGAAGGCAGGGGTAAACACCACTAGAAATTCTTGTCCCTATGAGGGAGAAAAATCAGGAACTCTGAATCCTCAGGAGCCTGCCCCCCATTAGCCGCCAGGCTTGGTCCCTTCTGCTGGCCTAATCACAGCAGTAGGCATGAAATTGCCTTTTGACATTGGAAGCTGGAAATTAAAAACCCATCTTCCTCCCTCCTCCCCATCTTCTGCCATCCCCCCACCTTAGCTAGCTTGCTCTGAAGAGCAGAGAAGGAAGAGTTTGAAGGAAAAGGGAAGCAGATGTCTTGGGGCAAGTCTTGTTTCCAGAAAGGGAAGGAGGACGCTGCCTGGGGAAATTCTGGTGGAAACACACCTTGCCTTCCCACGCGTGCCCTTGGATGGGATGCCTCTGGGATGAGCACATGATAACACTGCTCAAACCCCTTGCTCAGAACTCTCCAGTGGTGTCTCATTGACTTAGAATAAAACTCAGAATTAGGCAGAAGGGATGGTTGCACAACATTGCGAAGATACTAAATGCCACTGAATTTTATGCTTTACAATGATTACTTTTAGGGTATGTGAATTTTACCTTAATAAAAATAAAATCCAGACTTCTTGCTTATTCTGCAAAGTCTTACCTGGTCCGTCCTTTACCTGCCCCTCTGTCCTCATTGCCCCTTGCTCCCCCTGGTCACTAGGCTCCAGCTGCACTGGCCTCTCTGCTCAATCTTAAATGCCCAAGTCTTCTTTTTGCCTCAGGGCCTTTGCACTTGCTGTTCCCCCTGCCAGGAACACTTATCTCCCTGGATCTTCCCTCTCATCATCCTGGTCTCAGAGAGGCTGTCTTTGATCTCTCATTGCCCTGGTTCACTTTCTCCATTGCACCCATCTCTAGCTGAAGTTATCTTTTAAATTTTTTCTTGTTATATATTTATTGCCCCTTTATCTCCCACCAGAACATAGATTACAGGATGGCACGGACCTTATCTGGCCCTGGTTCTCTATTGTGTCCATGCATTTAGATCATTCTCTGACAGCAAGTACATAAAAAGAGTTTTTGAATAAGACCTGGTCCCTAGTGGCCAAAGGAGATGTTAAATGCCTAATTATACAGGTGACATGCAGGGAGACAGAAGCAATGGAGGTTACTCAGCCTAGAGATTGGGCAGAGCTTCTTGAGCAAGTGAGGAGAATTCATTGTGATCCTGGTGAAGATGAAGCTTCAGGGCCCCCTGTTCGCACAGGTACCTCCCGAGGCCCTAGGATGGGCCCTAGCAATGGTCATGTTATCAGGAAAGTTTGCAGAAGCAAGCTGGTTTTGTCTTTTTGATCTTGAAGAGGGCCCCTTAAGTATATAAGCTTTGGGCCCCACAAAGTCATGGCTGATTCCTGCTGAGACCTCAAAGATAAGCTGAAGGCGTGATGGAAGGGAGGGGAGAGATTGAGTCTGGCAAAGGGAATGGTCTCTGCAAAAAGGCTGGAGTAGAGCAAGCAGGCAGCATGCTAGAGGGAAAGAAGACCAGTATGGTGGCCAGCCTCTAGGATGGTCCCCAGAGGTCCCTGCCTCCTGTTATTCATACCCTCCTGTGTGTAGTCCCCTCCCATACTGAATCAAGGCTGATCCGGTGTGACCAACTAAATACAGTGGAAGTGACGCTGTGTGGCTTCCAAGTCATAAAAGACACTGAAGCATCCACCTTGGTCTCTTGGCCAGCCGCCATGTTGTGAGGACACTCAAACAGCCCCATGGAGAGGCCCACGTGGAGGGGAACTGAGGCCCCCAGCCAACAGCTAGCACCAAACTGCCAGCTACATGAGTGGCTCCTCGATCCCCTATGAAGCCTTCAGATAACTGCTGCCCCAGGTGACATGTCTGCAGCTGCATGAGTGACCTTGTGTCAGGGCTGCCCAGCCAAGCCACCCTCCTATTCCTACTCACAGAAATTGTGAGGAATAATCAATGGTTTCTATAATTTTAAGCCACTTTTTTGAGATGATTTGTTATCAGATAACTAGGAAACCCAGTCCAGCAGGATGATAGAGACAGACTGGTAGCACCCTCCCCACAGTGTCTGGATTCATGTTCTATTGCTGCATGACACATTCTTACAAATGTGGGGGCTTAAACTAACACACATTTGTTTTCTCACAGTTTCTAGGGGTCAGGAGGCTGGGCTTGGCTTAACTGGGTCTTCTGCTCAGGATTTCACAAGGCTGCAATCAAGGTATGGGCTGGGCCATGTTCTCATCTGGAGGCCTGATAGGGGAAGAATTAGCTTCTAAGCAAATTTGTGTCATTGGCAGAATTAATTTGCTTGCAGCTGTATGACTGAGGGCCATGGCCTTTTGTTGGCTGTTGAGAGAGTCCCTACCCCAGCTACCAGAGGCTGCCTACATTTCCTAATCGTGTGGACCTCTCTGATCCCATCCTGTGGGCCACTTCCTTCATCAAGTCCACAAGGAGCATCTCTAGCTCTTGTCACCCGAGACAGAGTCTTATATAACATAATGTGATCCCAAGAGTGACAGCTCATCCCCTTTGCTGTATTCTGTAGGCTAGAAGCAAGGCTCAGGTCCTGCCCACACCCAGGGTCAGGGCATTACACAAAGGCATGAACACCAAGAGGTGGGGATCACTTTAAAATCTGCCTGCTGTGGCATTCCTGACAGATATCCTTCCATCCTTGCTTGAATGCCTCCTGTGATGGAGGCCTCACTCTCTTTATGCAGAGCCTGTGCCATGCTGTTGGGAAGATCTTCCATTTGGTGTGCCAATATCCCTCAGCCTGCTGTTTCTTCCCATTACTTTTAAAGGATACAGTGGACTCCTGTGTAATGAAGATCACCTACCCTTCCCGAAGAGCCCCAGTCATAATGGAATTCAGCCACTCCCGAGTCTCACCAGTTTTCATGGAAATGGACACTTCACCTGCCCCTAATTCTCCCTTATTTGCCGCCACGTCTCTTCCTGGATTTCTCTGCTGATCCCCCTTTATTTATTTCCTGCCATTACAAAGCAGCTCAGTGACCAAAACTGAACACATGTGAGATTCTAGGCTTAGTTCCCAGTGAAGACCCTCCAAGGACACATTCCTGCAGCTTACAATCTTGTCAGGAGCCAGCCTGACCTAAAGTCAATGGCTCACACCCCACCACCACACCATTGCCGGTGTTACTGTGCACAGGAAATGCAAGCATCTGAACGCACATGGCTCCAGAGACATAAGCATAGCTGGGGGTCTCCGAGAGGCCCCGCCTAGGATAATTGCCTCCATCTGCAGACTGCAGATGAGCAGCCCTGCTGGAGGCTGCTGGCACCTTTCCAAACCCTTCCCCCATCCTCTGCTCCAGAACACATAGTTGACAAACAGCTCATCGTGTTTGAAAATGTCGCCGATTGGTCTCAGTGGGAACCTGCAAGCCTCCTGTGGATTTTCATGTTTTAATTCCAGAAGCAAACAGACAGAAACAAGATCAGTTTTTCAGACCAAAGCTTTTGCTCTCAGGGGACAGAATGGCTTGTTTAGGTCTTCCTGAGTCGAGGAGCGATGTGGGCACGAGGGCCTCAAGAATCGGTCCTTGGGATAAGACCCTTGCCAAGGGCTTCTGGATACAGGATGGCAGCTCTGTGTCCAGTTTTGGGATCTTGTTAAAGACCGAAGCCGGAGACCAAAGTATTGCTCCCCTTGGACAAGTTAGAGAATTGTATCCAATCCAGAAAATACCCAGAGGGCCTACTATGTGCCAATTTGAGCCCTTGTTGACTTGGCAGAGTTAATGAGTGGAATCCTGGGTCTGACACTTCTTGGCAGTATGTGCTGGGCCTCTGCTCTACTCTGCACCTCAGTTTCCTGGTCTGTTAATTGAGAATGTTAATAGGGCATGCATCACAGGGCCCTTGGGAAGATTAAATGTGAAAGTGCATGCCAAATGCCCAGGACACAGCAGCCCTTGCTATTGTGACCATCCTCTTAATCTACCAGGATGCCCTAACTTTTTAGTGAGGGATGAATTGCACCAGGAACTTTGCAAGCAAACTGATACGTACTCCACATTTCGTGAGACGGCCTCTCCAGGCGAGTACCGGCATTTTCACAGTAACTCATTAGCTAGCTGCTGGCAGAGTAGCCCTTCAACCTAAGCAGACCTGGTGGCTGCCTACAATGACAGCCCTGGCTGCTATGAAGATACAGTAACCTAAGAGAGGGGACGCAGGAGTAGGCTTTGGGGTCATATAGCTCTGATTCCTTTTCTGGCACTGCCCTGCCTGGATGTGCAACCTTAGGAACAGGTTACATAGCATCTCTGAGCCTTAGTTTCCTCATCTGTTAAAGGGAATACTTATTAGTGAGCTCATCAAGCTCATATGAGGGTCAACTAGACCATGTATATAAAGTGTTTAGTGTAGATTCTAGGACTTGGTAAATGCTCCAAAAAGCTGAACTTGTGTTTTCTTTTTCTTATTATTAAATATTTTTGGTATGAAACTGTGTGTCAAATCCTTGCCACAGTGGCAATTCAGTGAAAAATTACCTAATAGCACTGCACATATAGTGGGCACTGAATCTGAATGGAAGAAAGAATGAATGAATAGAATGTTTTGATAGGGAAGAGTAGGGAAGACAATGAGTCACTGACCCAGGGGTGGGAAGAACCCAATGGAATGAAACAAAACGCACAGCCTGGATCACTGACTGGCATTTGAAATCAGGAAACTCTTTGACACCTCAAAGCCATGGTAGTAGCAGTGTCCAAATCAATTCCTTGCCTATCTGCACAAACATGAACCTAGTTGATTTAGCTATTCAGGAGAGAGAGACAGAGAGACAGACGGACAGAGAGAGAGAGAAGGAGAGAGAGACCAACTAACCTAGCTGACTTTAAGTGGCAGGAATGAATGCTGGAGAAGATGAACTTTCAGAAACCTGGACAAATCCTTCCTGCAGCTCCCAGATTTCCTTTCTCAATCTGGATACACTAACCCCAGACCAGAATCTACTGAGATATTAGGATGCAATGGAAAAAAAAAAAAAACCAAAAAAACAAAAAAAACTCAAGCTTTAGATTCAGATCAATCTGCATTCAAACCCTGGCACTCTGTGACTTTGGGGAAAGTATTCTATCTCTCTGGACTGTAATATCCATCTGTCAAATGGAGTTAATAATATTTGTATCATAGGGTTTACATTTACTCTCTTGTTGAATTTTTGCAATATCTTATGATGTAAACATTATTCTCCTCTCGAGTGTACCAAGGTTCAGAGAGGTTAATCACTTGCCTAAGGCCACACAGCTTGAAGTAGCAAAGCCGACTCCAGGAGGGATGTCTTGCGTTCCAAATCACCATGCTATCCTGCCCTTCTAAAAGGCAGCCAGATGGTCCAATCTCACGTTCTATCTCCCAGGCCATAGTCAACTCTTCCAGACCCCCTGCCCCCCTCATCTTAACTATCCGTGGCTCTTGAGTTTAGAGGAAGCATGAATCTCAGGAACTTTGACTGTTGGTTCCAAATATCTTTTTTGTTTGTATATTTTTTCCAACGAGGCTTTTTTTTTTTTTTTTTTTTTAAGAAACAAGGTCTTGTTATGTTGCCCATGCTTAAGCTTCTGGGCTTAAGCAATCCTCCCACCTCAGCCTTCCAAGTAGCTGGGACTAGAGGTGTGCATCACCACACCAAGCTTAACAGGGCTTCATTCTGAGGATCACAGTAGATTGGTCTAATTAGGGGAATGTAAAGTATGGAGACACCAACAGCCCATCACTGGCTTAAAATGCTGATGGTGTGTGTGATGTGAATGGGAATGGAAACAAGCACATTTCCACCAGATGATGAAGAACTTGGGGGCTCTCTAGGGCCTGTCTACCGCTGGCTAATCTGCAAAGAACAACGTGCCATGTCCTGGCTGCAGGAAGAAATGCTCAGAGCTGCCTTTGAGGTGGAAGCGGGGAATTGGTTGTATGCCCCTACCCGAAATACACCTATTATTATTTTAGAAGGTATTTTACTGCCCACTGTAGAACCTACACGCCTTTACTGGGAAAAGATAATGTAAACCCCATCTGGGTACTGGTCTGAACCTATGCAAGCCTCTGGGCAGTGCAGAGGGGCAGCCTGTGATAGAGTTCATCACTTCTCAAACTTTAGCATGCCCAAGATCCACTTGGTGAGCCAGCCAGAATGCGGATTTCTGGGCCTTTTGCGGAAATTTGGGTTCAGAAGGTCTGCGGTGGGGCTTGAGAATTTGCATTTCCAGGGAAGGAAGGAATAAAGTCAGGATGGTTAATGGGTACAAAAATACTCATAGATAGAAGGAATAAGATCTAATATTTGGTAGCACAATGAATAGGATGACTACAATTAACAATATTTTATTGTATATTTCAAAATAACTAGAAGATTAGAATTAAAATGTTCTCAACACAAATAAATGATAAATGTTTGAGGTGATGCGTATTTCTATTACCCTGATTTGATTATTCCACATTGTATATAGGTACCAAAATATCACATGTACCCCAAAAATATGTAAACTATTTTATGTCAAAAAAATTTAAAAATTTAGAAAGAAAAAAAGCGACAAACATTGGGGAAAAAATTAATATTTAATATTTTAGTAAAAGCATGAAATATGGTTTATTATAAGGATGTCCCTAATATTTCACTCTTCTCTGTATCCATGCCCTATGCCATGTGAATTTGAAATTGATCACCAAAGAGTCAGGGTCTATCTTCTTTTCTTTTCTTTTTTTTTGAGATGGTGTCTCACTCGGTTGCCCAGGCTGGAGTGCAGTGGCACAGTCTTGGCTCACCGCAACCTCCACCTCCTGGGTTCAAGCAATTCTCCTGTGTCAGCCTCCTGAGTAGCTGGGACTACAGGCATGCACCACCACACCCAGATAGTGTTTTGTATTTTCAGTAGAGACAGGATTTCACCATGTTGGCCAGGCTGGTCTCGAATTCCTGACCTCAGGCTCTCTGCCTATCTCGGCCTCCCAAAGTGCTGGGATTCTGGGCATGAGCCACCACGTCTGGCTCTAGAGTCTATTTTCCTACTCCTTAAATCTAGCCAAGACTTAGGACTTGCTGTGGGAAATAAAATGCAGGGGAGTGATGTTGCACTAGTCCAGAGGCAATGCCTCCAAAGGCCTTGTGTGTTTCTGTTTACTCTTATACCCTGTCATCACCATGAGAAAACCCAGGATATCCTGTTGGAAGGTGAGGCATGTGGAAAAGAATGTATCATTCCAGCCACTGGCATCTTAGATCAGCCAACCCTTTGATGCATAAATGAGCCTAGCCAAAGTCCACAGAGCCACTCACCAAGCCCAGATCCCTGAGAACAAGTAACTGTTCTAAGTCACTGAGTTTTAAGATGGTTTGTTACACAGCGAAAGTTGATACATTATTCACCATGGCAAAAAAAAAGAAAAAAAAGAGTGAAACTTGTTAGACTTCCTACCCTTATTTTACAGTTTAGCATTATGTTAAATTCCAGTTGTATAATGTTTACCATGATATTTTTAATGCTTTCAGCCACTAAAGGTCTTTATCCAGCTCCACTCTTATCTGCCTCAAAGATTTAGCTTCTGAATAAAGTATTATTCAAAGAAAGACTTTCACTGGTAAGAAAAAGTCTAAAGACCACTGTGGTAACCTGCTCATTTTCCCAGATGCCTGAGACTCACAAGGAGAAAGGGAATTGCCAAGAATCATGACTGGAGAGAGGATGGTCCAGGACTTGAGAAACCGGCCCCGGCCTTCTCAATGTGCTTCATCTGCTACCTGAAGGCACCTGCTCTGGTGCACCATGAGGGGTCAGAATGAAGCCACCCACCAAGGCCAGCATTGGTGGACCCCGAGACAAAAGGAAATTAGCCCAGACTCCAGGTAGAAGCCCTCATAGATGTTTCCCCCTGAAATACAAACAGGGCAAAATGGAAGGCAAAGGACAGCCTTCCATATCTTTCCTGCCTCCCACCTTGATTCTTCATTGCATGCACACAACAGTCACATAATAAATACTCGCCAGATGTCTCTATTAATAAATTATAACTCCCTAAAGGAGTGGGATGATGGAAATGCTGTCGGGGCATGAAGGCTCTGAAGCATTCAACAGCAGAGGTGTGCAGAAAATTAATCCTTTTTCTTTTCTTTCTTCTTCTCCCCCTCCCTTCCCCTTGGATGCCAACATGGGCAGGTGTCTGCAGGAAGTCTCTTTATAGCACAGTGAATGGGATTTTAATGAATCCTGAAGAAAAGGAGGGGCAGCCACACCACAGAACCTTTTGCCCATGCCCAGCTGGTATAAAGGCCCCTTTGGATGAAATTTACCCCAACCAGACTAATGGGAGTGCAGAAGGGATGCTGTGGGTCCCCCACATCCTCAGAATGCCAACGGGACCTGGGGGTCCTGTTAATCTTTTTAGCCAGACTGAATTCCATTCTGTTCTTATAAAATCCCATGTTCTCTCTCACAGTTGGGCTTGGCAGATGCCGTGTCCCCCACTGGGAACTCCTCTGTCTCCTCCACGTAGTGCTCCTCCCTCTCCTGGTCTCAGCTTACACATCACTTCTTCCAGGAAGCTCTCCATCATCACCCTCAGGTCTGAGCTAGGTGACTGTCTTTGTGCTCCACAGTTCACTCTGATTCTATGATTATAGCTCTGCACATACTAGAGTGTATTTGTTGGTGACTGGCCCTTTATTTGTTTGTAGACTCCACTAGACATATCTTTATACTTGGCTAACTGTGTCCCTGGTGCTTAGCATGGTGCTTGGTATTTAGTAGGTACTTGGGGTAAGTGTTTATTAATAGAGGAAGGGAGGGAGGAAGGGAGGGAGGAAAGGAGGGAGGGAGGGGGGAAGGAGGGAGGGAAGGAGGGGAGGAGCCTGGGGATGAAGGACAGAGGGGAAGAGGATGAACATGCTACCTTTCAACCTGCAGCATTCATGAAGCCTCTAAGAACCCTGAGACCTTTTGGAGTCATGAACTTCTCTCTGGTGATGTTCATATTTGTCATCTGACAATGACTCAGCATCTCTCTCCAGCATGTCTGAATAATATATTCATGATTTCATAGAAAGCAGATCTTGCCTGTCCAGGGTCTTGCCAGCCAAAAACAGAGCTTGTAGAGCATTCAAATAGTCTTTACAAGGCAGCTTGTTCAAAGCTCTCACCTGACAGATGGAGAAACTGAGGCACAGGGCAGGGAGAAGAATTTTCCTGGGTCTCCTGGCTAAGTATTAGCTGTGTTAACTAAATCTTTAGAGCATTCTGGGCCTGATAATGTTATTTTTCTCCAAAAAAAAAGCTGAAAAAGTTGTGCAAGAGTCCTATATAAACATAAGGGTAAGGCAAGGCTGTAATTCACACCTTCATCTAACTTTGTTTGGTTAAGCTTTACAGTTGATAAAGCTTTCCTGCAAACATCTCATTCGATCCCACCACCAGCCAGTGAGGAGGGAGGGGCAGGGTTATTGTGCCTATTTTACAAACAAGATAACCAAGGCTCAAGGAGTTGAAGGGCTGTGTCCCAGGCCACAGGGACCGTGAGTCCCAGAGTCCCATGATTGCGGGGAGAGAGGTAAAAATGACTTTCCATAGTTTCTGAATGTGTGCACGCAACTGAAGATGGGGCTGCTTTGCAGTCTGGTTGCTCATTTATTGGACCCGTCATCCAATCTGTCATGCATATTTAGGAAATGAATCCAATTAAAAACACAAAAGTTGTGAGAAAAGATAGGGCCTCTGCTTCAAAGGTGTTTTGCTGGGAAATCAGGATGACCTCTGATGAGGCAACAAAGACCAAATGTACAGCACATAACAATCCAGAGCCCTGCCCTGTTCATCGTCATCTTTTATTCATGGTAGCAGTTATTAGAGTTAACATTTTCCTTATCGCAGAACAGTGTTCTCCAGCAAAATGCTGCAGAAACAAGGGCACTGAGTGGCCAATAAACTTGCTGAAATCCTACAAATCACTAACAAGAATTGAGGGCTAAGAAATATCTTCCATCCTTTTATCAAGTTTGGTATGAGTTTTTTTTTTAATTTTATAAATATTTTTTCCTAAGATGGGTGTGGGTGTTTTTTTTAACTTAGCTTTTTAAAAAAATGTTTAAAATTTGCTAGTTCCTTTTTTAACCATCTCTCTTTAGGGGAAAGCCACCTTGATCAGAGAAAGAGATAAAATACAGTTTGTAAAAAATAAATAAATAAGTGTTATAAAATACTCACTGTTCTTTATCACTGAAGGAAGGCAGAGAAAGGAGAGAAAGAAAAAATGAATAAAGTTAGGTAAGAAATCATAACAATATCTACACTGTCTGGATGCAACACTCACGTAGCTTGAATTATGATGACCTACTTCCATTTTGTTTCAGCCATTATTACCTTATTTCAGCATATCTAACACAAGGCTGCTTCAACATAGCATTATGAAATTCACATCTTTGATTAAATTGACCAGCCAGTTTGGCTTATTAATTAACTGAGCTGATTGTGTATGTATTTGAATAATGGTTTAAGGGCACTAAAAAGGAATCACTGAATGATCTCATGGCCATCATCATTCTTGCTTTCTGTTATTTCAAACACTGGGGGACAAGGACCATACTAGGTAGAGCAATCGGCCCTGAACAGTAGACCTTGTAGTTCCCCAGTTTGGGGAGGCAAGTTCTTCCACTCTAGACCGGAGACCAGCATCTCCGATTATGAGGCAAGCAACCAAAAGCAGGTCATATCATCTCTTTGTGCCTCAGTTTCCTCCTTCCATGTCTGGCACTCTCTGGCTTGCAGACTTAAATGCTAGATAGAAGTATCAACTGTCAAAGACCAGCATTTCTCCCCATGTATTCTTAACATGAAAACTGAACCATTGCCCTAACCAAGCAAGAAGAAAACGCATTCATTTCTCTCAAATTCCCCTGTTGTTGGTTTCAAACATGATCATTAAATTTAAGGAGGGTGAGAGAGAAAGACATTTGAAAATAACAAAAGCAGGAAGCGTATCTAGCTAGCCAGCAGTTAATTATGACTAGATTTGTTAATTTACTGGAGAAAGACATTATAAGTGTCTGCATTAGTTCACCACCACTGCAGCAGACTAGATAGCATGTGTGATGACTGTAATTCACCCATTAGCATTTATTGGAAAATAATTTTAATATCTGAAGAAGAGGCAGCAGCAATCAAGCAGCCAGATGCATTCAGAATGCCAAGATGTTTCATGGGAGCCGAGGAACACTTTAATGAAATGGCGTCCAGACTGTTTGGATAATTTTAATTTAATTGTAAGGCAAATTGTTTGGCTTCATATCGACTAAAGTAAACTCTGATGGATGGAATTTTAATTAACTGACATTTCTTAAATAAAATAAATATTTTACCCCATCCACCCTTCAGGCAACTGTTTATCTTACAGAGACACACTTTTTGGCTGAGGAAATATTCTCTGTAAAATAAGTTTGGCTGCAAGAAGACATCATGAAAAGGGCTTTGGAAACTAGCAATTTCCTATGAAAAAAGGAAACGAACAGAGTTCAATAGTGTCTTCAAAACTGTAAAACTTGTAGAACTGGAGGAGGTATTAGATAGAAGAAGTAGTAAACAGACATGAGACATTTGCTGTGGAGTATATGGGTGGACTAAATATTCAGAAAGACCCTTCACCAATATAAAATTAGATCCTAGAAAAATTAAAGCAAACTTTAAAAAAAATGCAGCTCTGGGATTTCTAGAAAGTAAGGAAATTCTCCAAGATCCCTCTCCCTTTCTAAACAAATAAACCAAATAGATTGAATTAAAATAAAAACTTTTTCTCTTCAAAAGACTCTGTTATGGAAAAGGAAAGTAACAGACTTGGAGAGAGTATTTGTAACATGTATATCCACAAGGGATTTTATCTATAACATAAGAAAACTTGTAAAACTTAATAACAAGAAGATGAATTACCTGATTTTAAAAATGGACAAAAGATTTGAAAAGATACTTCAACAAAAAGTTACACGAATGAAAAAATTTTATATTAGTATGTCTAACATCATTAATTATTAGGGAAATGCAAATTAAAACCACAATGAAATACCACTATACACACATCAAGAAGGTTAAAATTAAGAAGACTGATCATACCAAGTGCTGCTGAGGTGGTAGGGAAGCTGGAACTCTCATCTACTTCTGGTGGAAATTTTAAATGATACAGTAAACTTGAAAAACAGTTTGACAGTTTCTTAAAAGTTAAACCGGCATCCACCATGTGACTGAAACACTCCACTCTTAGGTAATTACCCCAAAGAAATGAAAGTATGTGTCTATACAAAGTTTTATTTGTACTAGCCCAAACCCATGGTCCATCAACGGATAAATGAGTAAATGAACTGTGGCATATTCACATAATGGAATAATATTCAGAAATTAAAAGAAACAAACTATTGATATACAAAACAATATGATTGGATCTCAAAATAATTACACTGAGTGAAAGACAGACAGCTCCCTTGTAAAAAGGGTACACACTGGATGATTCCATTTATATGAAATTCCAGAAAATGCAAACAAATTTATTGCTAAATAGTGATGACTTAGGGATGGGTGGGGAGAGGGAGGGGTAAGAAGGAGGAACTATAAAGGGTAACAAAGAAGTTTTGGCAATGGATGGATATGTCCATTATCTTGATTACTGTGATGATTTCATGGGTATACACATGTTTTTATGGCTGATGGTGGCTCATGCCATTAATTCCAGCATTTTGGGAGGCCAGGGCTGGAGGATCACTGGAGGCCAGGAGTTTGGAACCAGCCTGGGCAACATAGCAAGACCTCATCTCTATTTAAAAAAAAACTTATCCAGGTGCAGTAATGTGCACCCACAGTCCCAGGTTCTCAGGAAGCCAAGATGGGAGGATTGTTTGAGCCTGGGCGGTCAAAGCTAAAGTGAGCTATGGTTGTGCTATTGCACTCCGGCCTATGTGACACAGTGAGACACTGTCTTTAAAAAAAAAAAAAAAACATGAAATTATCAAACTGTGCTTTAAATTACCCTAATTGTGTACTGTTGAAGGTATATTAATTCTACCTCTGTAAAGCAATTTTTAAAAAAGGGAATCCAGCAAACTGAATCCAGAACAGGGAGCTGTGAGCAATAAACCACTGCAAATACCAACATTACATTCCAGGGGGCTAAAGTGTTTCTGGATGACCAGAACATCTCACTCCTGGCAGAAGCAAGTGTAAATATCTCTGAAGAAAAATGTTCCCAAGGTAGGTCCCTAGGATTCTCACAGACTGAGCATTCAAAGCGCAAGTAATTATGAATGAAAATCTGCAAGAAAGACAAATAAAAGACCTACATGGTCAGAGGCTTCAGGCAGTGCTGTGCTGGTAAATGTTTAACAACTGACTCTCTGGGGAAAGAGCCCCATGGAGGCTGATTTCAAATGCCAACATGATGGGACTAAACGAAGAGCTGGGAAGAAATGTACAGCAGCATACCTTTATATAGTATTTCCACCTTACAGGCATAATAGACATAAATAACAGAGAATATCAAAATGTAGTAAAACAGGTCAGGTGCAGTGGCTCACACCTGTAATCCCAGCACTTTGGGAGGCCGAGGTGGGCAGATCACCTGAGGTCAGGAGTTCAAGACCAGCCTGGCCAACATGGTGAAACCCCATTTGGAGGCTGAGGCAAAAGAATCGCTTGAACCTGGGAGGCGAAGGTTGCAGCGAGCCAAGATTGTGCCACTGCACTCCAGCCTAGGCAAAAGAGCAAGACTCGGTCTCAAAAAAAAAAAAAAAAAGAGTGAAATAATTGAAATGTGTTTAACTTTGAGTATTTATCACCATTGTGTGTAATATCATTTAACTATAAATATAACTTTATTTATTCATTTCAGAGAAAGGGTCTCTCTCTGTTACCCAAGCTGGAGTGTGGTGGCATAATCATAGCTCACTGCAACCTTGAACTCCTGGGTTCAAGCAATTCTCCTGCTTCAGCGTCCTGAGTAGCTGAGAACACAGGCATGCACCACAACATCCAGCTAATTTTTTTAATTTGTTGCAGAGATGGAGTCTCACTGTGTTGGCCAGGCTGGTCTCGAACTCCTGGCCTTAAGTGATACTCCTGCCTTGGCCTCCCAAATTGCTGTGATTATAGGTGTGAGCCACAGTTCCTGGCTAATATATATCTTAATTTTTAATAATGGCCATGTTTATTAACTGGCTCACAAATCCTGAAAATTTAACATCCATTCTAATGAGATTTTATGGTACATATCCAGCATGCCACTGATTCAGGTATAATTATTGGATACAGAATGTGAAGTTACTATATGTGAAATATTTAAGAAATAAAATTTGGATTGAAAACAAGCAAGAGGCAAGAGATTAAAAATGGTGAAGAAGATATTAAAATGAATGAATAATTTTTAGAAATAAAATATGTAACTACTAAATTCTAAAATGCAATGGGTGGTTTAATGGCAAATTAATATGCTCTAAGACAGAGTATAGCCAGGATGAAAGACGTGAAGAAATTACCCAAAATACAGCACAGAGGTAAAGAGATATAAAATACGAAGGAGAGAACAGACAGAGCAAGACCCCAACTCAAAGAAAAAAGTGAGAGAGAGAATAAGCAACATGGAGGTCTAATATTTATCTAATCAGATTCCAGATAGGGAAAATAGGGAGAATCGAAGAAAGAAAAATATTTCAAGAGATAATGCTGAGAATTTTCTAGAACTAGAAAATTTCTAGAATTTTCATGCTGAAAAACATGAATCCACTGTTTCAGGAAGTACAACATGCACCAAGTAGAAAAAAGCAATAAGAAATACACACTTAAGCACATCATACTACAGAACATCAAAAAGAAGGGCTTACGTGGAAGGAAAAACCATCTACAGAGGAAGGGCAATTTGTTGGCTTAAGACTCTTAACAGACACTTGAAAGCACAACCAATCCTTCAAAGTCCACCTAGAATGCTGCAACCTTCAAGAACAAGGGATAAATCAATGTTTTAAGATACACACAGTCTGAGAGAGCTTACCAACAGAATTTTACCAAATGAAAAGCTGTACTTCAGGAAGAAGTAAAGTGGCCCCAAGAAGCACCAAGATTCAGGAAGATTTGAACATTGAACCAAAAAACTAGAAGACAGGCAAATTAAAAAAAAAAAGCCAGTATAAAATAATAATGTCTAATATATGGAGTTAAATAAAGGATTAAACTAAGATACTAGAGAAGAGTCGTATGTAGGTAAGGAGGGTCGGAATTAAGATGTCGTTAAGAGTGTTTTAATCACCTTGTGTTGTCTAGAGGAAGATGTTGAGACAGTGAGTAACTCCAGACATGATTAGTTATGAATAGTAACACTTTAAGGATAGCCATGGATATCATAGGAATGAACCATATGACTGAAACCAATAAGGAGAAAAATGGAATTTGTAAACCCCCAAGCCCAATTAACCAATTAATAAAAATAAAAGACAAGGAGAGAAACAAAAGAACCATAGAAAAAGAGAGACAAAAACAAGAGAGTAGAAAAGTTAAACTATGTAATGGATCGGCAAACTATAGCCTACAGGCCAAATACAGTCAGCCGCCTGTTTTTATGTAAAAAAAAAAAAAAATGCCATGCCCACTTATGTGCATATTGCCTATGGCTGATTTTGCTCTAGAACAGTGAAAGTGGAGTAGTTGCAATGGAGACTTTATGGCCAGAAAAGCCTGAAATATTTACTATTTGGTCCTTTACAGAAAGAGTTTGCTGATAATTACAGTATCTGTAAATGGTAAAATCATCACCTAAAAGACAAAGATTACCACACTGAATTAAACAACAACAAAAGAAACAAAATCTGGCTAAAAATACCCTTTATACTCGCTTACCTGAAACGTAAGAGGACTAAAAGATTAAAAATAAAATGATAAAAAAAAAACTAAAGAAAGCTGATGTTGTTTTTTAATATCACAAAAGGGAGTTTAGGACAAAAAATCATTATTAGAGATAAAGAGAGACATTACATAATGATAAAAGGTTCAATTTTTCAGTAACATAGATCAACTCCAAACCTGTAGCCATCTCACAGAACCACAAGGGGAAATTGACAGATCCATGGTGATTGAAGGAGATTTCAACATAATACAAGCAGAATAAAAAGCAGTAAATGTAAAAAAAGTTATAAACACAATTAATAATCTCATTTTGATATGTGAGTGACCTTACAAACAATAATTATAGAATGCACATTTTTCTTATGTACTCATTGAGCATATCCTAAGATCTGGTTATAAGCCAAATCTTAACACATTTCAAAGACTAAGTATCATATAGGTCATATTCTCCAACCAAAATGCCATTAAATTTGAGATTAATAACAAAAAAAGTAATAAATTAAGAATCCTCAAACATCTAGAAATTTTTAAATATACCTCCAAATCACTCTTGGGGTAAAGTAGAAATCATAAGAGAAATTTTAAAATACATAGAAATGAGAAACAATGAAAATACTATATGTTGAAGCTTGTGGGATCATTTGAATGTGGTACTTTGGGTATCACATTTATAATTACTAATATTAGAAAAGAGGGAAGTTTTATATTAAAGAGGTAAATATACAACCCAAGTATTTAGAAAGTTATAGAATACACTTAAGAAAATGAGAAAGGATTATTTAATAGAAATTATAACAAAAATTAATCAGACAGTAAATGACAGGGTGATATTAAATAATAAGAAAGGCATTCCCATTTCAATCTCCTTTCCAACCTTATGTACTTCAAGGAGAAAGTGCTCATATGACTTTAACACTTGTCTTTCACTTGCTAGTTGCCTTTTTAAGTGGGAAGCAAGTCTCAGGCTCAGAGCCTCTATGAGGCTACAGTTTATAGCTAGAATGTAGTAACTTTTTTTTAATTATTTGTCTTCATGGCTACCTTTGTTCATAGAAAGCATGAACTAATTATCCACTTACATCCATTTGTGATTTAAAAAGTTCTTGTTAAATGAGTGTTTACATTTTATAAGTAGCCAATTAAGAGAAAATAACAATAATGTTATTTCATAGATAAGGTAAAAATAGTAAAAGTGGTGCTCAAATGACCAAGTTTAGGGAAACACTGCTCTCCAATAAGGAAAAATTTTTGCTAAAAAGCCTTTGTAGGCTGGGGGTGGTGGCTTACACCTGTAATCCCAGCACTTTGGGAGGCCAAGGCAGGAGGATCACTTGAGCCCAGGAGTTTGAGATTAGCCTGGTCAACATAGCAAGACCCTATCTCTACAAAAAGAAATTAAAGTTAGCCAGGCGTGGTGGTGCATGCCTGTAGTCCAAGCTACTCAGGAGGCTGAGACAAGAGGATTGCTTGAGCCCAGGAGGTCAAGGCAATGAGTTATGATTGCACCAGTACGCTTCAGCCTGGGCAAAGGAGCAAGACCCTGTCTCAAGAAAAAAAAAGAAAAAAAAAAAGCCTTTCTCTTTGGGCAAGCCACAACAACTACATCCTGACATTTATTCTTTTTACAAAAATAACCGTATCCTCAACTGTCCTACCCAGAATTTAAACTCTTAAACTGATCCTAAAATACCGTCTAATATAAGATCGACAGAAGTTCACAGTTAAGGAAACTTAGAGGTCATCTGTTCCAGGAAAACCAACTGGGATGGGTGGGTAACAGAAATGCCCAAAGTAGGCCAGGTATTAGAGACCAACAAGGAATGATGGGGACAGTGGAAAACTGGAGAGCTCTTGCCAGTCTAAATATATGAGCTGCTACTTGTCTTCTGTTGAACTGTTGGCAAAATTGTAGTCCAGTGTTGTCAGGTCTTCTGATATTTTGAAGACATGTCAGAAATCTGGACTTTCGTGTGAAATCTCCCAATTTTTACATGATCAGTCCCAAAATATAAAAAAAGAAAAAAACCTACACATACACTTCTGCAAGTCAGAGTCTGCCAGTTTGTAATCTCTGATCTAGTGCAACTTCCTTATTTGACCGATGAGGTAACTAGGGCCCCGAGAGGGGAAGATATTTGCCTATCATCACACAGTAAATTAGCTCATATCCAGAACTAGAACCCAAGTCTGGTTCTGACCACCAGGTCAGTTATCTCTCCAGTCTACCAGGTCACCTATTCTATGGAGCATGAAACTCAGGATTTAATCTTGTTCCTCCAACCTCGCAAAATAGTCAAACTAGGGGAGATGTTTTCATGACTAAACTCCCATTAGGTTCCTCTCCCCCTTCCTCAGGGAAGGAAGCTATTCCTTCTTTTTTTCAAGTGTAGAATTGTCAAAACCTCATCGACTCAAAACAAGCCACTCCCAGGAAGATGCAGCAACTTACTTTGATTGAAGGGGCCGGTCACTGGGGTACATCCAACGGTTAGAACTGTTGCTGAACACGGTGTCAGTCATAGTAGATGTCTAGTGCTCCTGGAAAACATCAATCCAGAGAGGACATCACCCCATCATTCAGCCACTCCTTAGTTCCCAAATCCCTGCTTTATGCCACACACCCAGTGGGATAGAGAAGACAGAGAACTAAATCCAGTTTCTTCATTTTCCAGATGGGGAGTCTGAGACCCTAAGAGGGAAAGTGTCTTGCTGGAAGTCACAGCTACCCCGTGGCAAGAAATGCACCAGAGGGAAGAACCCCCTCACCTAAATCCAAGCTCTTCCCATTCACTGTTGAGGGAATGTTGAGGGAAGCCTACTGCACCCCCAGCAGTGTGTGGGCCAGAGTTCTTAACTCGAATCCAGGGTCTTTCTACTGAGCAAGTCATCTGACTTAGTTGTTGTGGAGTCATCCCTGCCTTTTTTTTTTCCCTTTTTTTTTTATTATACTTAAGTTCCGGGATACATATGCAGAACGTGCAGGTTTGTTACATAGGTATACATGTGCCATAGTGGTTTGCTGCACCCATCAACCCATCATCTACATTAGGTATTCCTTCTAATGCTCTCCCTCCCCTGGCCCCCCACCCCAGGATAGGCCCCGGTGTGTGATGTTCCCTTTCCTGTGTCCATGTGTCCCTGCCTTTTTTAAAAAAAAATACTCTACATCCAAGCTATCAGAAAATGGTATTGTCTTGATCTTTAAAATAGATTTAGGATCTGCCTACTCCTTTCAGCCTGCATTGCTACTATGCTGATCCAAACTGCCACTATCCCTGCCTGACTTAATGCAATTGACTCCTCCTTGGTCTTTCTCCATCTACCCTTGTCCTATTTCATTCATTATTCATAATAACCACAAAGTAGAAACAGCCCAGTATTCACCAACTGATGAGAAGATCAACAAAATGTGGTATATCCATGTAGCATTATTCTGCCATAAAAACAGATGAAGTATTGACATACGCTATGACATAGGTGAACCTCGAAAACATGATGCTAACTGAAAGAAGCCAGACACAAAACACCATATATTTTGAGATTCCACCTATATAAAGTATACAGAATAGGAAAATCTATAAAAGATAAAAATGAGATTAGTGGTTGCCCAGGCTGGGGGAGGTGCTGGGGTGCAGCGTTTCTTTGTAAGGACAGTGAAAATATTCTAAAGTTGATGATGGTGATGGATCCACAACTCTGTGAGAATACTAAAAGCCACGGAATTGTCCACTTTAAATGGGTGAATTATATTATCTGTGAGTTATATCTCAATAAAGCTGAAAAAAATGGTGTCACCACTTTGGAACACTGTTTGGCAGTATCTGTTAGCTAAAAGTCCATCTACTCTGTGGCTCAGGAATTCTACTCAGGTATATACCTGAGAAATATGCTCAGGTATACACCCAAGAAAAAAGTGCTTATGTTCTAAGACATGTACAAGAATGTTTATAGCAGCTTTATTCATAATAGCTTAACACAGGAACAATCCAAATGCCTATCAACAGAGAGCAGATAAAGCCATTGTGGTTTATTTGTACAGTGGAATGCTGGTGAGCAATGACAGACAAGCTTCTGATACAGCGCATGTAACACCATGGATGAACCCATAGATGTTATGTTTAGTGAAAGATGCCAGGAACAAAAGAGAACACACTGTTTGATTATATTGACACAAGAGTTAAGAAAAGACAAAGCTATTTGGTAGTGACAGAAATTGGGGCAAATAAATTGCTTACTTTGGGGAGGCTATTGATTCAGAAGGGGCAGAAGGGGGCCTCCATGGGGTGAAGATATTCCATATCTTGATCTGGGTGGCCACTAACCAGGTATATACATCTGCAAAGGCCATCAAGCTAAACTCTTGAGATGTGTGTACTTTATGGCCTTCCCTTCATCCCGAAAAAGCAAGTCAGTTATGTCACTCTTTTGCTCAAGAGTCTTCAATGGCTCCCTGTTGCTCCTAGACTAAAATCTAAACCCCTTAGCACACGCTGGCTCCCTGCAGCCTCCTTCTCTTTTCCTTCCACTCTTCTCACGCCCTCTTTCCCAGCCCCAAAGGCCTTCCTGCTGCTCCCTCAACATCCCCAGCACATTCCCACTTGCTCTTCCCTCAGCCCGGAAGCCTTCTTGCAGATGCCTGTCTGGCTCTCTCTATCCCTTCGTGTAGGTTTATTCCTAAATGCACCTCGTCCAAGAGGGCCTCCCTGACCGCTCAGTTTAAAACAGCTCCCACAGCGGGGTCGGTGTAGGGAGAGCTTCAGGATAAATAGCTAATGCATGCAGGGCTTAATACCTAGGTGATGAGCTGATGGGTGCAACACACTACCATATGGCACACGTTTACCTGAGTGACAGACCTGCACATCCTGCACATGTACCCTAGAAGTTAAAATAAAATATGTATTTTTTAGAAAAAGAAAATGACCTAAATAAATAAATAAATAAAATAGTTCCTCCTCCCGCTTCTCCATTCTGGCCTCCTTTACTCTGATTTAGTTTTCCTCCTAGCTCTTATCACTACCCCAATTTAATATAAGTTGTTTATTTTTATGTTTGTGTCTTTGCTTAGAGCTTGAATCCCCCTGCTAACATGTAAGCCGTGCGGAACTTTTTCCGTTTTGTTCACTGCTTAATCTCCAACACTAGCATAGAGTCTGGCGCCTAGAAGGTACGTAATGAAAATTTGCTGAATGTGTGAAAGAGTCTCCATCAACACTGTCAGTGCGGCTCAACTCAGCCAGGCTTCCGTTCTTTCTGAACCTGCCCCCGACCCCACCCCTCTGAAGGTCCCACCAAGAGTAAGGGGGGGAGAGACCACGTGGAGATTGCAGTAATTATTTTAAAAACAAATAGAAAGTAGATTGGCGTGTCTAGGGGGTCCTGATTTCCCTGTAGGTCTTGTTTCCTGTGACGCTGAATAGATAACTTGGGAGGTGAACACACAGTGACCTCCCTCTCCTGTCCTGTATCCTTTGTAATTATTCAATCTTTGTGTGTGAGAAACCGGAGGGGAATGCTGGTTGGACCCGTAGCAGAGAAGATCCCTTACAGTAAAGCTATTTCATCTGCTCCCATGTGGTTAACATCATCTTCCCAGATTAATATGGGCATTTCATTGTTTCTACTTCAAAAACAGAAAGGAGAGACAGCTCCTGTTGTGAAAGAAATTTGCTGAAAAAGAACTTTAATGTCTCATTATTGCCTGTGGTGAGAGCTGAGCAGGCTTCCCTGGAGCCCCCCACCTGGAGGACCTCTGGCCCCTGCTGAGTGCAAAGAGGCTCAGTCCCCGAGAATGAGCTTCCTCGGCTGCAGTTGGTCTAGAAAGCTGAAACTGTAACTGAAGGTTTCATCTTCTGCTTTGCAGCAGAGAGAAGACACTGGCCTTGGAGATCCTGGGAGGAAGGTAGGTCTGGGATAAAGGAGACACATGATCACCTCCCAGGAACTCTGATCTCCAAATTCCATCATCCTCAGGGCAGAATCTGGCCTGCTCGCACTCTCCTTTGTTCAGTCACGCACACCAGGGGTATGTTTCCCACTAAAATTCCACCTGCAAAGTCTAAACTCCCTGGCTGACCACCCAGTGGAAACCACCCAGCTCCATCCCTCCAGGCCAGAAGCCACCCTGGACAGCCCTGGTTATTTCAGCTTGGCCACTTGGGACTCTCAATGCACTTAACATCCCAGGATTGGACTCTTTATCTGGTGCTTACCCCAGTCTACCAGGCCTGGACCAGAAGAGGAAAATGTTCAAGCAATCAAGGATATTTGAACAACTAGAGAAACAGGCCCAGGGACAGGAAGGCATGTGTCCACCGGCAGATCTGGGATGGAGGTGGAGATGCAGTTGGGGGGAGGCACCCTAATAGTCACTGTTGATTCCTCATCTGGATCCCCCCTACAGCTGGTGCATCCTCCCAATCCCAGCCTCTAGGAGTGTTAGCCATGAAGGGCTACACTAAGGGCTCATAGCAGCACCATTTTCCAGAGAATCGCCCTCATCCAACAGGAGCTGCTTTGCCCAGAGATACCAGGGAGCAGCACAAAGCCAATGGCTAATGAATAAGAGGAGGGTAGAAAAGTACAGCCCCCTTCTTCTAGGGCAAGACGGCTGTGTGCTGCCATCACACTCCAGAGCTCCCTGAGGATTGGGCTGAGGCCAGACTTCAGGTGAAGCCACGCCCTCGCCTAGCTTCCTCTGCTGCCCTTTCCTGCTTCCCTCATTCCCTAGCAGGTTCCTCCTTGGAGCACTCCCTGAGTCCATCACTAGTACAAGAATGCACATCTCAGGTTCTGCTTCTAGGGAACTTGACCTTGTGTGGGAGGAGACAGGAGAATCTCAGGGAAGCATGGTTCTGCTCCACGAGCTCATTACATCACCCCTAGTGGTCACTTAGCTGTTTTCTAATCCAACACAGCGTGATCCTAAAATGTTCTCCTAAGATGTTTTCCTACTGGCCTGCAGATGATACTTCATGAAAGCCAACTCTTCATGAGGAGTTGAGGGTGAGTCAACAGAAATGGAGAAAGTCTAGTGGTGAACCTCAGACATTCTCAAACCACTCCCCACTTTCCCATCACTCACTACAGAGAAACCATCGTCATAATAGACTGGAGGCCTGAGGCCCAGGGAGCACCAGAAGAAGGAAACCAACCATGGATACAAGAAGCAAAAGTATAAATGTAAGTGTCACATAAATAGTACCAAATTCCAGCCCTAGGACCACTGCAGAAACTTGGCATCACTGAGCTGATAAGTTTAAGTAAGCATCAGCTACACTCCCTAGCACACAGCAAAGACTTGTAAAGTGGTAATTCTCTTTTCCTGCTTCTCCTATACTTATCGGGTATAGGATGATGACTTACAATTTTCTGAGCACCTGCTATGCACCAAATTCCATACCTACATTATTTGCTTTACTCCTTACAATCCTACTCCAAGGTAGATGGTATTATCCTCATTTTACAGGTAAGAAAATTCAGGCTCAGGGTGGCTAAGCTACTTGCTCAAAATCATACAGCTACCAAGTAGCAGAACTGGGGTTTGGACCCTGACTCCAAAGCCCATGTGCTTACTCACTACTCTGTTCACACCCGTTCATTGCCCCTGGGCTTTGGATTGTTGGGTTCTGATAAGTGTCTAGAGGATTGGTGATTGTCCATTCCTGGCCCTCTGGCCCCTGGGTGCATTTTCACCTCTCAGCCTCAGAGACAAAGAGATACCTACCCACCCAGCCCTCTCCCAGGCTACACTGAGAGATCACATACTTTGGCTTGGGTAAGGCCAAGGCAGTGGCTTAAATCCAGCCCTGCAGCTGCAACTTCAAAAGCATAAAATGACTTCTTCTCCTGAAACCAGAGACTCCAGCTCTTCTTTCTTAGCTGGACAGAAATTCCCCTACAGTCCTTGTACAAACTCTAAAGAATCATCTACTTTCAGTAACAAAAGAAGCAACAACAACAACTGAAAGTTCAAATATCAAGGGCTTACTCCATGCTAAGCACCTTTCAAGTTTTATCTCCTCAATCCTCACAACAGCCTTATGAGGTATGTGCTCTTCTTGTCCCATTTTACAGATGGGATAACTGAGTTGAGGAAAGTTTAAGTGAACTTTCCAAGGTTCTGCTTAAATTCCTTCAAACAATCTAAACGTCTAATAATAAGCACTGGATAGCTGGATGAATCTGAATCTTAGACTGAATCTCAGACCTGGAATCTCAGACTGCTACAAAGACTCTGTCCTAACCCCAGGTAACCCAGATTCCAGGGTCCTCCCTTCTCCTCCTTTGCCATTGGTTCTGCCTGCTTCTCCCCTGGCTCTCCTTAGCATCGCTTGCTAAGGAACAGTGGTTCCATCCCCCAAAATCTCCAGGGTTTTCTGCTAGTTGTAGTTGAATGGAAAAAACAACGCAAAGCCTATTTAGTTTCTGAGTTGCTGTGGCAGGTGTCTGAACGTGACCCAGCGGGGCTGGGCTGGCAGGGATTTTATGCAGCACTTCAGGGCACTGCAGGGAACCGGCAGGAGCTGCAGCTGTCTGCGTGGAGTTCAATGCCACAGTTGGCCTCCCTATCCCAACAGTCTTGGAATTAAACCAGACGCTTTGCAGCAGAACCTGCAGCCACAAGTTTGGACAATGCCCAGACAGTTCCATCTCTTGATCTCTTTCCTTGCCCCTTGTCTCTTCCCCTGAGTGCAGTATATCACTGCTCAACTAGGTATCTGGAAAAAATCACTCTGACTATTTGATGGGGTGGAAAATGTACTTTAACAAAAGGGCCTCACATTGGGGGAAGCACGAGTGTCCATGAACAGAATCCAGGCTGAAAATGTTTTGTTTGGCCCATGAAGGGGTTTTTTTTTTTTTAAGGGTAAAATTCAATCAATATCTTAAAAGCGCAGGATTTAATTAAAAACACAGATTGCCAGCTTCTCTTGGGAAATTAGAAGAATTAAAAAATATTTATGGAACATTTACCATTACTATGTGCCAGACACTGTTCTAGGCACAGGGGATATAACATTAAAACAAACAAAGACAAAAATTATTGTCCTCATGGAACATACCTTCTAGTAGGGAAGACTGACAATAAGCAAACAAGTAGAATATTAAATGTGTCCACAGGTGATGAGTGCTTTAGAGAAAAATAAAAGAGGGAAGGATGATTGGGAACTTGGGGGGAAGTGTGATTTTAAATAGGTGGTCAGAGGGAGCCTCACTGAGAGATGCTATTTGAGCAAAGACCCAAAGTGGGTAATAAACTGAGCCACATGGCCATCTGGGGGAGAGCATTTCAGGCAGAGGAAAAAGTAAATGCAAAGGCCCTGGGGCAGGCATGTGCTTGGTAAGTTGGAGAAATGGTAAGGAAGACAGAGTGGTTGGAGTAAAGAGAGCAAGAGGGAGCTGAGATCAGAGTGGTGGTGGTGGGGGTGGGTGTCAGATCATGAAGACCATGTAAACTTCTGGCCTGAGAGATGCAGGAGACCCAGAAAGCCTCTGAACAGTGATGCAAGCTGAGTATATTCTATTCCATCTCAAATATGCATCCAGAGTTGACTATTTTCCAGGCTGTTGGGATTTCTACAAACCCTTACTATGACAAGGACACTTGGGACACCAAAGAGAAAGACGGCGACCTCCTGCTTTGTCTACTGTGCTTGATGGAGCCGAGTGCCCCTTCACTTGCCTGCCCGCCTGGTCATTCCTGCCTTCTCTCATGGGACTCCAGCAGCCCTTACACATCCAGTCCCGTCCAGACGGTACAGGCTGCTGTTGGCTTTTCCTTGTTCCTAGAGCCAGCTGGGACATTCTCAGCCTTCCCTGAAGCCGACTAAGGCTGAAACGACAAGAGCTTGGCTCCTTCCATGCCAATCTGGTTGGTGCCAGAGACAATGACAGAGACAGGCCTGGGAGGTCCTAGAGACAAAGGTGACTTTGTGTTCCTGGCCTTGAAACAACAAAGCAAACTCACTGTCCCCTCCATATGGTTCTCCCATTGCCACATAGCAATAACAGATGGTGCCTGCCATGAGCCTCTAAATAACCCCACAGGACAGTCCCCATTTCACAGATTTTAAAGTAGGCACAGAGTTCATCCTCCACTGCTCTGCCACTTACAAGCTGCATGGCCTTGGGCAGATACATAATGTCTGTGGGCCTGTTTCCTCATTGATAAAATGAGTATGGTCATCCCAGCACTACCTACTTCATCATAATGGCTGCTTAGGTTGTACCTGGGTCTGGACTAAATGCTTGCAGTGGATGGCTTCATTGAACTCTCCCAAACACCCATTAAGGAAGGTACAAGTATTATCTCCATTTTGCAGATGGAGATACCGAGGCTTAGAAGACTAAGTGACTTACCCACCCAGCCAGCGACCGGCAGATCTGGGATTTGTACCTACAGGATCTGATGCAATGTTGCATGTTTAATCACTCTACTATGCTGCCTCCAGGATTGTTGTGAAGAATGGGGTTTGAAAATGAAGGCAAGAAAGAAAACGTGGTACTTGGAACATAGTATGTGCTCAGTAAACATTAATTATTGTCACTATTATCAATATCTCCATCATCGTCCATCAGTGTTCGTTCTCTCCAGCAGCTAAAGTGGAGCATAACTTATATGATGTGATTGGAAAAGCACTAAATGCTTCCATAGATTTCACGGTGCTCCAAATTTCCTCCACCAGCATTGCTCCCTAAAGGTGTATTTGGTACCCTCTTTCTCCCCCAGCTCAGGAAATAGAGAGGTAAGCTCACTGCAGATGGGGTGAATTGATCACAAAAAATAGCCCCATGTCTTCCCTTTCTGTATCCTTGTCCTTTTCAGCTCCTACCATCCAGAGGTGAAATCTATTTCCCCACCCACGGAATCTGAATTGGCTCTAAGACTTTCTGTGGCCAACGGGACAGTAGAAGATGTGATGCATTCAGAGGCTTGGAAATACTAGCCCTTCAGAGCCTGGTCTCTTTTGCTATTTTTTTAGCAACCCTGCAATCACCATTTGAGAAACCAGGCTAGCCTGCTGGAGAATGAGCAATCATAAGGCAAGAGGCCACAGCTGTCCAAGCTGCTAAGGCTGTCCTGTCACACACCAGCCAGTCCCAGCCAAAATACAGGATGACCACAGACACACGAACAAGCCCAGCCAAGATCATCCAAGTTTGGCCTAGCTGAACCCAGCTGAACTCAACCCAATTGCCAACCCAGAGAATCATAAGGTAAATAAATGGTTGTTGTTCTAAGCCACTATTTTGTGGGGTGGTTTGTTACACAGCAAAAACTGGCTGGTGAAGCAGCCTCTTGCAGTGAGACAATTGCTGGCTTCAGACCCAGAGCACTGGGATCCAATCCTACCTCCCCTTTTTAGTCTCTGCATGACTCTAAGCAAGTTTTGCATCTGTAAAATGAGGATGTAAAAATTCCTATTCTTAATCAGGCACGGTGGCTCACACCTGTAATCCCAGCCTTGGGGAGGCTGAGGTGGGTGGCTCACTTGAAGCCAGGAGTTCGAGACCAGCCTTGCCAACGTGATGAAACCCTCTCTCTACTAAGAATACAAAAAAATTAGTTGGGCATGGTGGTGCATGCCTGTAATCCCAGCTACTCAAGAGGCTGAGGCACAAGAATCGCTTGAACCCAGGAGGTGGAGGTTGCAGTGAGCTGAGATCATGCCACTGCACTCCAGCCTGGGTGACAGAGTGAGAGTCCATCTCAAATATATATATATACACACACACACATATATATATCTCAAATATATATATATACACACATATATACATATCTCAAATATATATATATATATTCTTCTTATGCCTGTCTTGCAGGGTTGTTGAGAGGAACCAATGAGTTAATTCATGTGAAGGGGCCTTGTAATTTAAAGTGTTTTCCAAGTATCAGTCAGGGAGGACACTGTTAGTGTTATTTGAGGGCAGAGCTGGGGAGAGAAACAAAGGTCTAAATCCTAGGTGTTTGCTTAAGCCTGAGTGAGATACTGCAGTGGATCTCTAGGGTAGACATCTATTGCATTTGCCTACCCAGCATTTATCTGGATAGCCTTTTGTTGGTAAAGTCACCCCAATTTTCTTTTGGGAAAACATCCTCTCTCAGTATCAATCTGTGTGGTCCAGGTGGGGCTCATCCAACCCTAGTCCTTAGAGGTGGGCCAATGACCTGTGCCTGGCCCATCAGTGTATTACACCCCTTAGGCTGCTGTGATTGGTTCAAGGATAGGTACATGACCTGAGTTGGTCTTTTGCTGGAACTATGTGGAAAGAAGCATTCTCTTTCCATTGGGCTGCTAAACTGATAGAACAGAATTCTATAGCTGCTATTGATCACTTTTGCCAACACACAAGAAAAGCCTGGTAAAGGATAAAAGCTGGGAGATAGAGACTGATTCCTGATGATGCTGTTGGAATGCTGGATCCAGCCATGCCTGAATCTATCAATCTATCATAGCCTTTTGGGCTACTATGGACCAATATGTCCCCTCTCCACCCTTCTTTTTTTTTTTTTTTTTTTTTTTTATTCTTCTTGAGACAGAATCTCACTCTGTCGCCCAGGCTGGAGTGCAGTGGCGCGATCTCGGCTCACTGAAGCTCTGCCTCCCGGATTCTCGCCATTCTCCTGCCTCAGCCCCCCGAGTAGCTGGGACTACAGGCGCTCACCACTGTGCCCGGCTAATTTTTTGTATTTTTAGTAGAGACGGGGTTTCACCATGGTCTCGATCTCCTGACCTCGTGATCTGCCCGCCTCAGCCTCCCAGAGTGCTGGGATTACAGGCGTGAGCCACCATGCCCGGCCTTTTGTTCTTCTTAAGTTGAGAAGTCAAATTCAAGTCCAATTTGAATCAAATTCCTGCCATTTTCCTGAGTTTTCTCTGTGTATCTTCTGGGTGAGACCAAGCTACCTTGCAGCAAACAGGGATTCCAAAGACAACCAGAATTGACTGAAGCCTGGAGAAAAATACACCAGCCTTCAGCAACCCCCTTGAATCCTTCCCTCCTCTACCTCAGAGGCACTGCCATCCAAGCTCCTTGGAGGACAGAAAGTGTTTCTAATACATCCCCACTAAGGCCCGCTGAGACCTTACAACGACAATTAAAATTCAGTGACAATAAACAACACTAATTAAAAGCAAAACTAACTACTTAATAAGACAAATGAGGTGGCAGTATTAAAAGTCAGGATGAGAGAGCTGGCATTAATTAAAAGCAAAGACCAATTTCTTCCCTCCTCTAAAAAGGCTGCGTGTGCGGGGGGTGGGGGGTGCACACACACACACACGTGTGCATTTCTAGAAAAGATTTATATTTTGTAAATGTATAAAATTCCCTGGGAGCTGACAGACTGTGGGATTGGTTCTGCCTGGGGTGGGGGTGGGGGTGTCTTCCCAGAGAAGGGAACATTTGGGCTGGACCTTGAAGGCTGAGCTGGGGTGTGTGAGGATAAAGGATGGAGGAACGGATGGGGAAGTGAGTAAACAGGGTTCAGAGGCTGCAATGGACATGAAACATTTTGGGAATAGAAAGACCCATGGGGATGGATCCTGGGTAGATGGAAGACAGGGAGGAAGGGGAAACAGGGCTAAAAAGAGAAAGTGGGGCCAGGGCTGAATCCCTATTTCTGTGGATCAACAATGATAGTGCATAGCATCTCCACTCAGCCAACCCCAACTTCCATTTGAAGATCCAGAGACTAAGATCCCCTGCTCTTAGCAGACAGCTCAGCAAGGTGACTAAGGGTATGGGTTTGGGGTTCAAGTCCATTCTTCCATTTATGAGCCAGGTCACCTTGGGCAAGTTTACTTACCTTCCAACACCTCAGTTTCCTCATCTGTAGAGCAGGGACAAAAACAGAACCCACCTCAAAATGGAACTGTGAGGATTAAATGAAATCACTTATCTGAAGTCCTTAGTCCAGAGCCTGGCACAAAACATGCCGTTGTCAAGTAGAAGCTATCCTTAATTTATTATGAATAATAATCTCAGTTATGTTTTCCTAAGAGATGGGAGTCCAGTTTCTGCACTGGAATGAAATATCTCAGCCTTTCTGAAACCAGAGTAAGTACATGGAGGAAAACAATGATGGATTATGGAAATAACTACAATAGTAATACACTAATAATAATAATAATAATATAATTCTCAAGCGTGGGTCATTTGTTGAGTACCGTCGTTGTCTTTAGTGTTAATGACTTGTGTGGTGAGATTGGCCCTCCCTTTCCCTGGGGAAGCTGGGAGTGGCCACATGACCTGTTTCGACCAAAGAACGTTTCCAAGTGGAAGCTTCAAAGCCAGTGCATACTCACCACATTACCCTTTTCCTATCTGGACAATCATGTACATATGAAGATAGAGCCTTCCTCAGCCTGGGTCCCAGCTCTGAAGACATCCCCTGTTATCTCACCATATCCAAGTAGTATGAGTGAGAAACAAATCTGAAACTTTGGAAATGGTCAGCACAGCACAACCTAACCCAGCCTGCCTGTGTTTTCTATGGGCCAGAAGCTGCACCAAATGTTTCACATGCAACGTCTTATTTGATCTTGGTAATGATCGTAGAAAACAGGATCTTACATGACCCACTTTTACAGATGGGGAAACTGAAGCCTGGAGGGGTAAAGTCATTTGCTGGAAGACGTGCAGCCAGGAGGTCACAACAGAGCGTGCATTTGAAATGAGCCCACAGAAATAAATATAGTACATGACTCCACTGGAGGCAGGGCAGAGCATCCAGGATTGACCTTCCTGAGGCGAATGTCTCCTGCTGGATAGGGGAACCCAAAACTTTTCCTTCCTCCCCTGGGTTATGGGAGTCTCTGTGAGCCCTGTGTCTACAAAACCTTAACACCAGACATCGTTCAACAGAACACTCTTCAGGGCTCCCTGCATGGTCCAGCCAATTACCCAATTCCTTGATAAAGCGGAAACTTGCTTTTGTCATGCTGTTAACCTGGCTTATCTCTGCCCCAGCTACATTGTGGTAAGCAGGGAAAAGGCAAAGGCTCAGAATTGATTTCAGCACTCAACACATGCACACACAGACACACTGGCCCCACACAGAAAATGTGATTAGACAGGTCTCCATATTAAAACAAGTCATTTAGCTTAATGGCCCCTGGCTGCCACTCAGGCCCAGGCTGCAGTGAAATTCATTCTGATTAAAACTCAGCTGGAGTTGACTTATCTGCAGCTCTAAATCTCATCAAGCCACGGAAGACCACAAATGGCGTCCTGCTCCCTCCTCTGCCTCAGAGACAAAATGCTCACAGCAGAGAGGGGCATTTTTCTCCTTTAAAAAATGGCAGCAGTCCTGGTCCTCACATCTGAGGGGCATTTCACAAATTTTAGATGGGAGACATAGCATTCCCATTTTATAGGCCAGGAAATTGAGGCCAAGGTTTGTCAAGGTCATGCTGGTCCAGTGACTCAAATATGGGTCTCATATAAATGAGGCTCCTGACTCTCCTGCTCTATTATTTGTTGGGTTAAACATATTAATTTGCTATTTTTATAGTACAAAAATGGTTGCATAATGGCAGCGTCATGTGGTTCAACTTAATAATAAAGTAGCTTTGCTTGATAATTTCTATTTGCGCCTCCAGACCCATTCATCCTCCATCCTGCTCTGTGCCCTGGGAGGCTGACCCGTGTGTGAGCACCAGCAGGCTCCTGGCCCTCTGGCTTCTGGTTGGGTTTGTCCAATGGGAGGCACCAGCAGGAGACTGGAGGGAGGGAGGAGAGACAGGCTGGGGTATATTCTTCTGAAGGTCATAGCTTTTGTCAGGAGGACCTCTCCATCCGGCCCTTTCTCTCCCGCATCCACTTACATTGCCTCCCAGCCCCTCCAAGCCTAGAGACGTTAAGGACTTGCCCAGATAACACAGCTAATAAATGATGGCGCCACACTTGGAGTCCCAGCAGTGTGGCTCTAGAACATGTGTTCTTGGCCAGCTCACTATCCTGCCCTGAGTGTCAGCATTTCACAGGTCTGCAGAGGTGGGATGTAGTGTAGAAATGAACAGCACCAGTCTTCAGGTGGGCAATTTTCATATACAACCTCATTTGATCTTCACCACTATCCTGTGAGGTGGGCTCTGAAGTTATTCCCCTTTCTCACACTCAGAGGGGTGAATTAACTTGCCCAAGATCACCAGGAAGGAATGGTGGAGTCAGTGAGTTATAAACCCAGATGTTCTCCCTTTAATACCTGCAGTCTTAATCACTAGTCTAGATAACCACTCTTACAACCTGGCCACCCAGCCAGACCTGGAACCACTGAGTAGAAGGTCCAGTAAGAGAGAATCTGGCGTGAGATAAGAAACAGCTTTCTAACCATCAGCCCCATCAAAATGAAAACATGCTACTTTGATAGATAATAGGCTCCCCATCATTGGAGGTAATCAAGCACAAACAGCAAAACCACTTGTTGGGGCTGTCATAAAGAGGGTGATGAGCTTTCCTGAAACTACCCCTTTCTGTATTTGAAAAGGAATGGCTCAAGTTCACAGACTCTTCTCTCTTATATGTGGTTAAAATGCCCCACATATAGGGGGCATTTGACTTGGCCTGACCCTGTGATCAAGCAGGAAGAACTAGTTTCTGTTACATAACAGAAAGCTGAAGTATCCTGGCCTAAGATGGGCCAGGAAAGGGCTCTTCTTATCTTCTCACCTTGCTGCAAACACACGCACATACACACACTCACATCCCCACCCACACTCCACATCCTCCCCTACACACTCGTGCACACTCCCACATAAATATACCCCATACATACACACACACACACACACCCCACTCCCACATCCTAGTTTACTCCATACCCACCATACCCACTCTCCAACCACTCTCAACTCCACTATACACACACACACACACACACAATCATACAAACACAACACCCTCATTTCCACCCACAGTACACATTTCAACATACTATCTCCCATCAAGGGCAGTGAGCAACAGCCCAGGCTTTAGAGTTACACAGACCTGTGTTCAACCCCCAGCTAAGCTGTCTGAGCCTGGGCAAATTACTTAACTTTTCAGAGCCTCCGTTCCCTCAACTGTTACGTGGGGGATGTAGCAGCACCCACTTTTGTGGGTTTTTTTGAGGTTGCAGCAAAAAGTAACACAGAGAGCATCTAGTCCTGTACCAGCTCAGGCAAAACCCTCACTAGGCATTGTCCAGGTGTTCTTCCAGAACCGCACCTCTCCCGAATCACATTTTAGCACAGTCTCTAGTCACAGGAAGTACGCTTTCTGCCTCACACAGTCCAGCTGTGTTCACTTCCCTGGGGTGTGGATTTTAAGAAATCCAAGGCCACTTCAGAAACAGTGAAAAGCTTCTCTTAGTTCTCATGAACAATAAATCTTCAAGGCCTGCCTCTATCTATTCCCCCCTCCTTTCCAGGCACCAGGTGGGGTAAAGAAACAGAAAATAAAACCTTGGCCAGTATTGGCTGGAGAACATGAATGGACCACAATCTTCCTCTTCTCCTCTTCTTGCCCCTGTGAACACAACCCTCAAAACATCAAGTACTGTAGATGGAGAACTCTGCAATTTACAAAGCCCTTGGTCTCCCCAATCACCCAGGCAGGCGGGTGTTATGACTCAAATCACTGGAGGCAAAAGAGTGCAGAGGCTGAGAGGTGCTGAGCTGTCAAGATTCAAGTCCCCACTCTGCCTCTTTCTAGTTGTGTGATGTTAAGATGGTTACTTAACCTCTCTATGCCTTTCTTTCCTTCTAAGAAAAACAAGGATGATAACAGCACCTATCTTACAGGGATGTTAAAGGATTAAATGAGTTAGTACTTGTAAAGTGCTTAGAACAATGCCTGGCACATGGTTAAATAAAGAGGATGAAGTCACCCTTGTGGTCATCTCCAGATATCAAGTCTGCCAAATAGAGCTATAATGTAGTTATCACCTACTGTGTGCCAGGGATTGCACTAAGTAATTTGTATACATTGGCTCAAAGAAGGTTTGCAAAGAGATAGAAATCAGAAGGCCAGAGCTGTAGTTCAGCACCATAGACAGTAGCACATACACATTACTCCTCTCCTCCTCTCCCCAGTTTTAGTGAATGAATAAATATACAAAGGGGTTTTGTGTGTATGTGAGGGAGAGAGGGAGAGAGGGGAAGAGAGAGAGAGAGAGAGAAGGGGATAGAATCAGAAATTGACACACTTTCTACAAGCTGGGATCCACCAACCATGTACCATGTATGACTTGACTTACTCTTCTCCGTGAGATTCATGCAGCTATCAAGATGGCATAGAATGATGTAAAACTTTTTTCACACCCTGAAATGCTGGTTTCTCCCTGTAAGCCCTAAAATCCTAGCTCAACTCTCATCTGTCCTGTAATGCCTTCTTCAATCCATTCTTTCTTCTCTGAATTTTTAATGTATTTGGGATTCAGAAGCTCATGGCTTAGCCTTCACTGGTTCAAGAAATAATCCTCCACAGGACTGAAAGTTCCATGGAGGTATGGGGAGTGGACACCAGTTCCTCATTCTCCTGGTACTAACACCCTGGTTTGGTTTTGTTTTTAAAGGAGCCATCCTTTCCCTCAGACCGTGGTGTTCTGATGGGGCTGGCCTCAATTCTTAGCTCCAGGGGTTCTCACATGACTCTGGCCTCACCAGTCAGCATATTCCCCCTTGTAACTACATATAATTGACTCAAAGTTGGTTAAGTTCCCCAATCCAAGCCAATTAGACTCAATGCTCAGACTTTTGTTGCAATCCTAGAAAGGAGATGCTCTTTTTTTTTTTTTTCTGCTAAACTGAAGCTGGATGAGACAAACTTGGACTTGGTGGGTTCTACCAGGCGGAGAAGTCTGCCTGAAAGGGAGGCCAACCCAGAAGAAAGCAGAACGATGAGATGATGAGAACTCAGTTCTAGCCTATTGTTGAGCCTCTGGATCCAGTCATGCCTCCACCATGTGCGGGACCCTTCAATTACATTAGCAAATAAGTGTCCTTTGGTATCACTTGAACTAGTTTGAGTAAGGTTTGCAATCAATATAGTCATGATGAATGCAGATACATACACACACATAGCCAATACTCATTATTTGTGAATTCCACATTTGCAAATTTGCCTACTTGCTAAAATTTGGAATCCCCAAAATCAATACCCGTGACCCTTTCATGGTCATTCACAGACATGCACAGAGTGACCAAAATGTTTGAGTCACCTCACATGCATGCTCCTAGCTGAAGGTAAACAAAGCAGGTCTCTTTCTTCTTGTTTCAGCTGTTATGCTGTAATCAGGTCTCTTTTTTTTGGGGGGGGGGTTCTATTTAGTGCCACACTTTTTTTGCATTTTTGCACTTTTTGTTGGTAATTTTGCTGTTTAAAAATGGCCCTCAAGCATAGTGCTATTGAGTGTTCCTAGGAGCAGGAAGGCTGTGATTTGCCTTACAGAGAAAATAATGCATATGATACAATTTGTTCAGTGCTTTTGAACTGAATAAAGGCCTCATGCTATTGGCCACAAGTTCAGTGTTAATGGAATCAACAGTATATTAAATGAGGTGTCTTTACACAGAAATACACATAAAACAAGATTAGGTATTGATCAGTTGAAGATATTGGGAGCCTGTTAATGGAATCAGTAATGTATTAAATGAGGTATCTTTAAACAGAAACACACATAAAACAAGGCTATTCGATCAGTTGAAGATACTGGAACCAAAATTCGTAGGAACCTAACCCTGTATTTCTCCTAGGAGCAATGTGGTTCAGTATTTACTAGTTCAGTGTTTGTGGCAACTTTGCAGAACATAACTATCATGAGTAATGGGAATTGACTCCCTCTCGCTCTCTCTTTATCTATACACACACACACACACACATATATGTACACACAAAAAATATGTATTATATATAAAACAAATAACATAGTATAATGTATTATATACATAATAAATATTATACAATATACAAATGTATGCAGTACTAGATTAATCAAAAGGCATTTTTACAGTTTCACTTTTCCTCTTACAATGAAGAATATTAAGTGGGACAGATGTTAGTAATTTAGGCTGTTATCTATTTTATTTTTCAGAATATGGTGGATTCAAGGGGCAGATAATGGGATAGTTGATGCAAATAGCCAATTTGGGAGGAAAAGTGCCAGGAACATACAACATACCATACTTAGGGGTTGTTTTTGGGCCAGCTTCTCCCACAAGAAACTAACGGTACATTTCGACCTGGTTCCTCTGCCATCACTTTTGTGGAGGCAGAAGGAGGTAAAGTGGAAGAAAAGAAACCTGCCAAGAGTGAACACATTGGATTGGGGATTTATCAGGGACAGAAAACTTACAGGGATCATCTAGCACACAGCCTTTCTGAAGTCTGATCAGATAACGAACCAGGGCCGAGCAGCAAATGGGTTTATAAGTGTATTGTCAATCTCCGGCATCCGCAGAGCATGCTCAGAAGTGGAAGGTCTGCAGCGAGCTAAGGGTGAGTGAGGGGTAGTTGCAAGTGGTTCATCCCCAGCCAGGCTGCCAGTTTAGTTTCTACAATAAAATCAGTCACTGATAGGGGCTGCATTTGAGGGTTTAGGAGGGTTCCCATCTTTCAAAGCTGAGGACAAGTGAGTACTGAATTCATTCAGCCCTGATTTCCAGCTCTTTCTTGAGGAAAGAAAGGAAAACTCCAAGGTCATTTCCTTCTTAAAGAAGCATTGAGATTTTGCAGATTTATTTCTTAGTTTGGAGTCTGAGGAATCGAGAAAGGAAGCTGAAATGTCCCCAGCAGGCCTGTTTACTTTTTCACATAGTTCTTGTTCATTGAGGGATCTGGGGATACCGAAGCCATAGAAAACTGAATGCCAAGCTCTTATCATATAGAACTGAAGCCAGCAGGAGGAGGCATTGTGGTTAGGGTCAGAATTTACAGGTAAGAGGAGGCGGGGAAAGGTGATGTTCAACTCCGCCCTGAGGCACTTCACTCCATGTTTCTGGAGACACTTTTAGTGCCTCTCCTCAGTAATTACCTTTCCTAGAGAGCCTAGGGACCTGTTTGACATAAAGTGGTTAACTCCAGACATGTCACAGGGGCTAGTCCTGGCTCTGTCCCTTGCTAACCTGGAACTCAGCAAGTTCCTTAACCTCTGTGCCTCCCTTTCCTTGTCTGGAAAATGCTGGTTATAATTGTACTCTCTTCCCAGGGCTAGTGGGAGAAGGGGATGAAATGAGGCATGCAGAGCTCCTGGCATGGTGCTGGCCCATAGCAAATGCTCAAAAACTGGTAACTCCTATTGTGGAATAATAATATGCTAGCGTGAAGTCCTCATTGCCAACGACAGCCCATAAGGTTTGAATTTATACCTATTTCCCCTTGTTTTTTTCTGCCCTTAGTGCTTCATGTCAACCTCTCCTCTCCCAGGGACAGTCATCTCCACACAGAGGAGCCTGCAATGTTCTTTTAAAATGCTTGTATAGTGAGGGTTCTTGTGGCCCCAGATTCCCACGATGAGAAGAGGCAGAACAGGCCACCAGAAGGAAATGGTCAAGAATGGTCAAAAGATACTGGCATACCCCAGGAAACCCTCATGAACTCCCCACTGACATACCAAACAACAGCCCTCAAATATTTCACAAGACAAGAGCATTTGTCTTAAGCCTCATGATTTTGTTGCAAGTCCCATCCTTAGTTTGGGAGGTTTAGGGTCCATTATACAGATGCCAACATTGAGGATCTGTGAGCTAAGATAACTCACCGAAGTCAGGCAGGTGGTGAACAGTCACATCCTAGTTCTGCGCTAGGATCACCTTGGAGGCAGGGTTAAAACGTCAATGCAAGGACCCCATCCAAACCAACTAAAGAAGAAACTCTAGGGCTGAGTCCTGGTATGGCTATATTGCTAAAGTTCCCCAGGTGTTTATAATGCACAGCCAGGGCCGAGAGCCACCTGCTTGCAATCCCGCCCTTCCTTCAAGCCAGTGCACCTCAAATTTGAAAGCACATCAGAATCACCTGGAGGGATACTTAAGGCACAAATTCATACCCGCTCCTCAGACCCAGAGCTTCTGATCCAGGAGGTCTGGAACAGAGCCCAAGAATTTGCATTTCTAGTAAGTTCCAGGCAATACCGGTACTGCTGGTCTGTGGATTGCATTCTGAGAACCGCCACTTTATGCAATGCTAGAAAATCAAACCCAGGAGACCAAATGTTCTGGTTCATGGTTTCCCTTCTAGCAACACTGTCTTGTCCTGAATCACAGCTAGTAATTCAGGCATGCTGCTCAACCTCTACCAGAAACTGGGGAAAGCCAGGGGAGGCTGAGGGCTTGTTGCCTTTCCCTTTTCTTGTTTCTTTCCTTTTAAAAAATAATCCACCACTTAAGAGACTGCCCCTGAGCACTTACTGCTTGCTCTTCCACCAGCGGCCCAAACCCTTGCCTGCAATGCAGGTCTTCTTAAATATTGAATAAGCCTGCCGCTCCACCAGCTGCCGCGGCTGGGGCTGAGGTAATGTTGATATTGACAAAGGCTTAATGTGATTAATCAGGTTAGAAAGATCAGGCTGCAGAGCTGGTTTCATAAAAGACCTTCACGTTCTTCTCCATCACTAAAATCCCCAGAGCCTCCACACCTTCCCTGCCCCATCCTGCATCCCTTCTAAGGCTTGGGGATTTTTCCCCTCTTTGCTGGTGTTGCTGTTTAATGACCCATTAGGTTAGTTAGAGTCATCTGGGGAGAGGGTAAGGTTTTGAATAAGAGCAAAGATCATTAGGTTGACTGTTAGTGTTTATTTATCCAACAGATACTTACTGAGCACCTACTCCATGCCAGACACTAGGGGATAGTGTACTGGAGATATAGTGGTAAATAGAACAGTCAAATTATCCTGTTCTGGTGGCGCTGACATTCTAGTGGGGGGAAATAGATGATGGACAAAGTAAATAATTAAAGTAGATAGCAGGTACACGGTGCCAAGTGCCAGGGAGGAAAATGGAGAAGGAGGAGGCAGAGTTCTGGGGAGGGAGGTAAAATTTTAAATAAGATGACATTTGAAGAAAGATCTGGAAGAGGTGGGTAGTGGACAGAAGGTGCAAAGGACTAACAGGACCTTTTCCAGAACATCAAGCTCAGAGATTTCATCATCATCATCAAAATAAGAGTGACTAATGTTTACTGAGCACCTACAAAGTGCCAAGCTTTGGTCCAAGCAAACATAATATATTGACTTGGTAAATTCCCAAAACAACCCAATAAGGTAGTTGTTATTGTTATCTTCATTTCCCACATGAAGAAACTGAGATGCAGAGAGATTTGGTAACTCGTTCAAGACCACAGAGCAGCAGAGCTGGAACCTGAACACAGATAGATGAGCAATTATTTCTACCCCCTTCCTCTACTCTGAGCCCCTTGCTTCTCAGGAAGGGGCCCCACATCTGTGGTAGATTGCACAACAAAATCTCCCTCTGGGTAGAGAGGGGTCCTACTGTCCTCTTCATTTCCAGGTAGTTGGTGCTGTGAAGAGGAGTGGAGGGTGGAGGGCTCAGCCTGTAAATGCAGCCCTTTCTGGGCCAGTTTGAAGTTTTCATCAAGCCTCTCCAAGTTCTTGCCTTCATGTGAACCCTGCACTGCAGGCAGGATGGGCTTTTCAAAATATGGATCACATCAGGTCACCCTTCTGCTTGTGAGACCCCATTGCTCTCAGAATCAAGACAAATTGCTTGATTTGTCTTGATTGCATGGTCCTGCAGGCACCACCCGCCTCATCTCACCCTCACATCTCACACTCTAACCATGCTGGCCTTCTTTCAGATCCTGCACTGCTACCTCAGGGCCTTTGTACATATTGCTCCCACTGCCAAGAAAACTGTTTTTTTCTCCTCTCTTTACTCAGTTAACTCCTATTCATCCTTCAGATCTCAGGTCGAACATCACTTCCTCTGGGAAGCCCTCCAAGATTAGGTCAAATTTCTTTGTGAATTGTGCCCCTCTCTTTAGAATCTTTGCCTTCATTTATCATTATACAGCCATTTGAATAATTTTCTACCTGCTCACAGGAAGATGCTACATCTAAATTGTTTTCTACTACATCCCAGCACTGAGCACAGTGCATATCACATACTATAAACGACCAACTAGAAGATGAGGATTTCTCCCAATCAAATATTCCTCAGAAAACAAAAAATCAGTTCCTTCTTTTTTGTTTTTTTTTTAATTTTTGAGATGGAGTCTCTCTCTGTCACCCAGGCTGGAGTGCAGTGGCGTGATCTCGACTCATTACAACCTCCACCTCCCAGGTTTAAGCAATGCCTCAGCCTCCTGAGTAGCTGGGATTACAGGCACCTGCCACTATGCCTGGCTAATTTTTGCATTTTTAGTAGAGACAGAGTTTCACCGTGTTGGCCAAACTGGTCTCAAATTCCTGGCCTCAAGTGATCCGCCCACCTCAGCCTCCCAAAGTGCTGGGATTACAGGCGTGAGCCAGTGTACCAAGCTGAAAATCACTTTCTGTCCAGGTTCTTAAAACGTTTTTCACACTGTTAAGCATTCTCTTTTCTCCCAATGTGCTTTCTTTTTAAAAACAAAATAGTTTAAGCAAATTCTTTCTCAATTTTTTCAACCATCATGCAACTCCAAGTGGTATCTCTTCCTTTCCTATTTGTCAACAAAAGGTATTTGCAGTAAGTGACTTTTACTAAAGTTATAAAACCTTCCTTACTTTCCTGGTTTAATTATTTCCTCAATATGTATGGGTGCTGAAAGAACAGTTGTGTGGGTGAATGGTTTATTTTATATAACCATGTGGTTTTAAGTATGTGAGTACAATACAATTAATGAATCAAATACTAATAGACATTTGACAAGTCCATTTACATCCCTAATGGGTTATTTATTCAAGTTGGGCAAAACATTTTTTGGAGGGAGAGACAGATTCATCATTTTATTGGGAAAATATGAACATTGTAGGTTATATTTGGGGCTGTGATTTACATGTTAGTAGATGGTCAATAAATATTTATCAAATGAATAGACGAATAATTATATGTTGATTGAGGGAGGTCCCACCTAGCAATTCAGAGACTAGACATTCACTTCTGAATTATCCCCTTTTTAAAAAAATGAACATGTGCTTTTAACCTCACACAACTGCCCCCTAACGTGCATTTGGCTGTCAACGAGCAAACTCTGTCTTAGGAATATTATTTCTTCAGTTGGGCTCCAGAAGGCAAAACAATCAAGAGTGATGGGACTCAGGCTTAAGTCAAATCAGGAAGGATGACCTAGCTAACTGGCCCTTTCTGACAATGCACAGGGCACCTCTGCGGGTGCAGAGTCCCCTCACTGGAGAAACTCAAGCCCATTTCCCAGGCAGTGAAAAAGAGGATTCATCCTCCTCCCAGAATGACCCATGAATCATTCCCGAATCACTCAGGAAACTCTTTACACTGCAGATTCCTGGTGCGACCCTAACCCTTCTGAATCAGAATTTCTGGGGATAGGCCTTGAGCATCTGCATTAAAAAAAAAATCCCAGAAGATTCGTACACACACTAAATGTTATAACCACTAAGGTTCATGACTGGACAAAATTAGCACCCAGACATTTGAATTTCTCAGATAAGTAAAATTTTCTTCCAAATTTAGGGCTGTCCACTTGCATTGTTGTTGTTTTTATTTACAAAAAAGGGGCACCAATCTTTTGTTTAAAAAAATGCTACCATACATTGCAATGTTTTATTTTTAAAAAATATATTTTAACGTTAAATAAGCAGAAAAGAGATATGGTCAGGATAGAGGTTTGTTTGTTTGTTTGTTTTTTCTAGGAAAACTCGGTCGGCAACATTTTGCCCACCTATAAATGCCTAGTTCTTCTCCTTTCACCAGGGCCAGTGGAAACTTTGTCACAGGCGAGATCTGAGTTTGGAAACCACCAGCGTAAGTAAAGAAACTTCAGGAGCCTTCCTGAATTAGGAAAATCCAAAGACGAAAGAAAGAGTTCGTATTGGCTGCTATGAAATAATGATGACAATGATAGCATCCTAAGAGGTTCATTCCTAAGAGGTAGGAACCCATTTGATCTTTACAAGAACCCTAGGAGATATCTGCTGTTATTAGCGGCATCCCCACTCTGCAGCTGGAAGAAACTGAAGTACGGGGGGCTGTGGTAATCAATCAAGTCTGCACAGCTAGGAAGGGGCGAAGTGGAGACGTGAGCCCAGGGAGCCTGGCTTTCTGTGCTGAAGTCCTAACTGTTGTGCTCTATCACCAGCCAGCCAGCTGTCACGAGGGCCACACCTGCCTGGTGCACACATACATCCCAGGCTTCAACCAACCAATGGATGGGGCTAAAGAACAGAGAGCCCAACAGTTTGCTGATGGCACACACAGGGGTGTGGTTTCAACTTTCCACCCTCTGGGAAGCAAGCACTGTTGGGTGGTCTGGTGGTCTGTGGGTTGGAGCAGGTGCAGTGACCACTTGCATCCACCTGGAAGTGCTCACAGCCCCACCTGATGGGATCCACCGGGAAGGATCCTGAGACCACCAAATTCACCATCTGCTTTTTTCCAGCCTGTCTGTGACTGTGGTTGGCCCGGTGGACCCACTATGCTTTGGAGCTTTATGGTTTGGCCACTGTCATCCCTGATGACTGAACCTGGTTTTCGTTCCTAACTAATCTTGCAATCTTGGGAAATTGGTTTGCCTCTATGGGGCACAGTTCCTTCATCTGTAATGGAGGAAGTAATTCCAACTCTCCTCTTCAAAAAGTTATTGCGAAACAAAACTGAATCTAAAAGTAATTTTTTTAAAAAAATTCAAGTCCTATGCAATAACAAACAACTTGCATGTATCCAGCAGTGTCTGGGTGCCTCATATTGTATTAACTCATGGAATTCTCGCAGCCACTCTATGAGGGAGGTACTATTATTATTCCCATCTTACAGGTGAGTAAACTGAGGCCAGAGAGGCCAAGTAACTTGCCCAGGGTCACAGGCTGGCAAGTATTGCAGCTGGAATTCCAATCCAGGTGGTCTGGGGACAGCAGCCGTGCTTCTAAGGACTGCGCATACTGCCTCCTCCTGGCCAGTGTGTCCAATCCTTTATTGGAATGATGTCCATGCATTGCATCCAAGCTGGAAGGAGCTGAAGACTAAAGAATCAATTTCTGTAGAGCCTTATTATTTATTTTTATGATTAATTATATTAATTATTTATTTTTTAAAAAGCACTTTTAAGTTGCTTTATCTTCACAATTGCAATTAGTAAGTAGACAGTGTAAACTGGGGGAACTGAGGCCTCCTTATCTTCTGTAGCCTGTGTCCTCATCTGCAAAATTGTAATAATAATAATAATAATAATAATATCTCCTTCCCAAGGCTTCATGAGGTTTGAAGGAGGTCAGTCATGTAACCCAAAGGGCAGGGCAGCCTACACAGCGTGCTCTGTGACTCCATGAAGAAGCACATGGACATCCATGGGCCTTAATTCATCCTCTCCCTGATAATTCATCCTCTCCCTCTCTCCATCTGGGAGAAAGGGAGAGGATGAATTATCAGGCACATCTGGAACTTGTACCCAAATGGACAGACTCTTAACTCAGTGTCCTTTCTAGCAATAGGGTGATGTAACACTGGAAGCAGGTGAGGAGCCCCTCAGGGCATCAGAGACCACCCTGCTGTGGAGACCTGGGGCTGCCCTCACACTTGGTGTTAACCAGAAATGACCACCCCATAGTAACCAATTGGGACAAAGGCTCCCATCCAGACCCGCTGCCATGACAACCAGAGGAAGAATTTTTCAGATCTAGAGTCTTCTCAATCCCAGGCTTTGGACAGCTTCTGGGGGCCTCTCTGGCCACTCAAGGACTCCCACTTCCAGCCGCTGGAGCTTTTACCCTCTGAGCATGTTCAGGACAAAATGAGCCTTTCTGCTTTCACCAATCTATTCTCAGAGGCAACGTCGGTGTTACAGGAGGAAACCCAGGCTCTGGGGAGAGGACAGAGGCCCTGGGGAGAGGACAGAGGCCCTGGGGAGTGGACAGAGGCCCTGGGGAGTGGACAGAGGCCCTGGGGAATGGACAGAGGTGATGAGGAGCCAGCATGGCTACTCCAGATGGGAGCAGGGTCTCTCCACACAGAGTGGGAAGTAGCCATTTAAGAGGGGGGCAACGTCTCAGCCTGAGCCAGGGGACCACTCCTGAACACACACATGTGCACTCACACATTCCCACACACACCACTCACACACACATGCTCGCACCATACCCCCTATACTCACAGCACCACATACACACACTCACGCACATACACACACAGCACAGCAGGCAGACCCAGCACAACTTGGATGGGATAAAAACATCTATTTACCTAACCACCCAGGGGACTGTTTAAAAAAACTTTAATCACACAAAGCACACTAGGCATCATCTTATTTCACTCTCAAGCAGGCTTATAAAATGAATACTAGCATTATCCCCATCTTACAGAAGAAACTGAGGCTCAGAGAGACTAAGTCACTTTGGCAAAGGTCACACAGGCAGTAGGTAGCAGAGGCAGGATTCGAACCCATGTCCACCCAGCTCCAGAACCAGCTGCTCTCTTCTGCCTCCCTCTATGCATGCATGGTGTCTGATGTCATGAGGACACTCAGCATTTGTTAGGCAAAGAATCAAAAGTGAAAGAGCAAAGCATCTACCTGTGTTGCCCAAACAATCATTAAATCTCTGTTAAAATGAGTCTTCCTGTCCTGAAAGAATCCCAGCTGGCCAGCGCAGAGAAAAAAATTTTCAGAAATACTCTGGGTTGCTGGAGGGAAACTCACATAAGAAAAATGGAGAAAAAAATAGGGGACTGATGCCTTGGAGAAAAGCAACAATTAGAAGCAAAAGATTAGATGCCACCTTGCAACGTGGATGGATCTTAAAAACATACTGCTGAGTGGAAAAGAAGTGAGAACCTATGAGATCTATAAAAATACTGTTTTGAAGGGACATATACAAGCAATAGAAATACGCATAAACAGAGTAGAATAGGGTTGTCTATGAATGGAGGGGAATGGGGTATGAGGAAAAAAGAGGATAAATAATGAAAAATGGAGGAAGAGGCGGGCAAGGATCAATGATGGCTGTGTACCAGGAAGGGAAAAATAACTCAACTCTCATCATCTCGCACCCTAACAAAGATTCTTCTAATCTACAAAGCCCAAGAGTCCTCCGTGAATAACAGACAGGCTACAAATGAGGCCAGTTCCCCTCTCATTATAATTAAAACCACAGTCCCCCTCCGGGTCACCAACACGAGTGTGCACCATTTATTTCTCCCTCGGGAGCTTTCCTCGAAGCACTTATCCATCGTTCAGATGAGAAGACATGCCTGGACCCCTCTGCGGAAGTTGGCCAAGGCTGGCTACATAGGCCTGCCCAGTCAGATAAACCCTTCCAAGGAAAAGAAAAAGGAAGAAAGAACATCTACAGAAACAGCGGCAGGTTCTATCTGAAAGGCAAGCCTGCTGCATGCTCTGTGTGATGAGTCTCCTTCCCCGCCAAGGGCCCAGCTCCTGCTCCAAATGCTGGCTTCTCCTGCTTTCATCCTTAGGTGCAAGCCCAGTCCGGCTGGTTCTTTTTTGAATGGGCCTAGCTAGCTCCAGGAACAACAGGTTCAGATCAGATCAGAGAGGAAGCTGCAGACACCAGAAGCTCACGTCTTCCATCACATCCAGCAGCCTTTCCCGCAGCCCCTGGAGAAAGGCTTGGCCAGACACCCCAGCTTGCCACTTCACAGGGTGTCATCCCCTTTGCCAAGTTACGATATCCTGCTTCATGCTGATAGATTAATCCAGCCACTATTCATGGGAGAGAAAAGAAAAAAAAACAAAAAACCCACGCTGCTGCCTTTTCTTCCGGGGAGAGGGGAACCGTGCATTTTAGCTAGCGTGGAACGGGCATTTGCAGAGCTCCCTGAACGGCCTTGACTCTGCACACACTGCTGGGTTCTTGTCTCTTAACCCATTGGCCCTTGGTTACAGCCAAGGCCCCTCTCCATGTCCCCAGGATCACAACTGCTGCACCATTGCCAGGAATAGTTCCAGTCCCACTGGAGTGGACCCTGATTGCTCTGGCCTTCTCCCCTTATGTCTGATCCATCAGTAAAGCCCGTCTGCACTCCCGCAGAATTCACCCCAAATGTCACCACCTTCTTCTCTGCTACCACCTGGTCCCTGCCCCATCACAGCTCCCCTCACTGGTCCCCTGGCTTCCATCCCACCTCCTGCACTCCCCTCTCCACTCAGAGACCAAAACAATCATTACTAACATTGTAAATTAGGTCACATCACTCTAGCATAAAACGCTCCCTGCAAAATAAAATCGAACCCAGACTCCTTGGCTACCCTGGGAGGTCCTGTCTAACCAGATCTGGAGGTCCTGATCTGAACCTGTTGTTCCTGTCTCCCTTTGTCCCCATCACGTGACCCTCACCCCACTCACACCAGCCGACTGTCTGTCCCTTGGGGCCACCACAGTTGTCTCTGCTTTTGCACTTACTGCCCCCACTTCCCAGGTGTGGCTCATCCCTCCCTTCACCATCTACTCATGGCTATTTCCTCCTAGAAACTCAGCCTCCACTGGCTGCTGTTTTTATAAGTTAGTCTCGCCCCTCCCTCCCCCAACCCATCACTTGTCATTCTCCATCGAGTCTTCCTATCTCCTTCCTTCATGGCACTTCACGCGGTCTGGAGTTTTCTTGTTTATGTGTTTACTTGTTTATTGGTTTTGCCACCCACTGGGCTGTCGGCTTCAGGGGGCAGGGAACTCCGGCTCCCTCACTGCTGAGTCTGCAGTGCCTAGAACAGTGTACAAGACTTGTCTGGAAAGGAGGGAATGGGGGAATGAGTCTAGAGCAGGGGTTCTCACAGTGTGGTCCCTGGGCCAGCAGCATCAACACTGCCTGGGAACTCGTTTGATGTGCAAATTCTTAGGCTCCATCCTAGTCCCACTGAATCACAAACTCCGTGTTTTAACAACTCCTGCAAGGGGTTCTGATGCAGGCTCAAGTTTGAGAAGCTTGGGCATTGAACCATCTGCAATCTCTACCCTATATCCCCCGGGTGACCAATGAGCGAATAACTAGCTGGGTGATCAGTCTTGTCAGGGACAGGGGTTAGGGAAGGTGAAGGGAGTAAGTCTCCTGCCCATGACTGACCTCTGAGCTCTGAGGGAAAGGCCTTTGTGTGTCTAGATAGTCCATGCCGGAGCCATGCAGAGAATGCCAAGCCTGGGAGGGCTTCAGAACCACTGTGTGCCACCAGAGCAGAAAGGCAGGCAACTCACCCAGAAAGCTGAATCTTTGGCTTTTTGAAAATTCTACAAAATTCCAAGCATTTGGCTTGGAGGTAAGATGACCAACTCATCACAGTTTGCCCAGTACTCTTTCCATTCTTTTTTGTTGTTGTTTTGTTTTGTTTTAGACACAGGGTCTCACCCTGTCACCGAGGCTGTAGTACAGTGGCACAACCACAGCTCACAGTAGCCTCAGCCTCCTGGGCTCAAGTGATCCTCCTGCCTCAGCCTCCCAAGTAGCTGGGACTACAGGTGTGTGCCACCATGCCCAGCTAATTGTTTAACTTTTTTATAGAGACAGGAGTCTCACATGTTGCCCAGGCTGGTCTCAAACTCCTGGCTCCAAGCGATCTTCCTGCCCTGGCTTCCCAAAGTGCAGGGATTTACAAGTGCGAGCCATCATCCCTGGTCTGCCTCTCAGTTTTAACACAAAGTCCTATATCCCAGGACCCCCTTCAGCTCCAAGCAAAGCTGAATGGTTGGTGACCCTACTTGGAGCCCTCATCACCTGGAGTCTCATGAATTCACAAATGCATTCCCTTTACAAGTAATTTCTGTGTGTCTTAAAGATGAGATGAGGAAGGCAGAGGAGTTAGGAGAGGAGGAAGACGGAGAGAGAGAGAGAAAAGGAAAGGAAGAGAGGCCAGGGGCAGAGGAGAGAGAAAGGGAGAGAGGGAAAGATGGGGAGAAAAGAGAGACTGCAAGGAGAAAGCAGGGAATTATTTAAGGGGTGGGAAAAGTAAGGAGACAGGGGCAGGGAAAAAGGAGAGAGAGGGGGAGAGATAAAGACAGAGACTTAGGGGCTTAGCACCACAGTGACAGAGGAAAAACACAGGAAGGCAGAGACGGAAAGGGGAAAGGGGGCAGGGAGGAAGATGTGCAATGGAGCGGACCACACAGATGCCATTTGGCAGCACCTTGCATGAAAAGCCTCCCAACGAACTTCGAGAAACCATCTCTCTTCTCTGCAGCCCCAGAATGCCGCCCCGCCATCAATGGCTGGCACCAAAACCTGCTTACATAATATGTTCTCTGCTGAAAGCTGCTTCCATTCACAAGTCACCACTCGTCATTGTGTAGGTGCATTAAAAAGGAAGAAAAGGAAAAGAAAGAGAGGAAAAAGAAAGAAAAATGCAGCTGAATGAACTCACTCAGATTATATTGAGAGATGAGAAGATATTTCCCCCCCTCGCTCTCTAAATAAATCCTTCATGAACCAAACATCATTATGATGCTGTCAGATGAGTTTCCTCTTGTTGATTAATTGCAGGGGGTGGTAAAAAACCCAGCTTCCTGAGGCATGTTATCTTGCTCACTGGATGGATTACTAAACCAGAGTCTGACAGAGCTCCATTACAAAGAGATTTAAGCGTGTGTTATATCATTAAAACCAATGACAGCAAGACAATTACTTCGAGGAAACCACAGTGACATTGCATACAGCAGCCTGGGCCCTCAGCACTGCTGCCTTCCCTCTTTTCCTGGCCCAAATGGGGAGCAGAGTTGGGCTAAGAAGAATCACTTTTGGCTGGGTGCAGTGGCTCACGGCTGGAATCCCAGCACTTCGGTAGGCCGAGGCAGGAGGATAGCTTGAGCCCAGGAGTTTGAGACCAGCCTGAGCAACATAGAGAGATCTCCATTTCACAAAAAATTAAACAATTAGCCCAGCATGGTCGTGTCTGTACTTCCAGCTACTTGGCAGGCTGAGACAAGAGGATCGCTTGAGCCCAGGAGTTCAAGGCTGCAGTGAGCTATGATCATCACGCCACTGCACTCCAGCCTGGGTGACAGAGCAAGATCCTATCAAAAAAAAAAAAATTTTTTTTTTCATTCACTCTCAAAGCCACCGCCTGCAAATCCCAAAGACCTAGCCTGGCTGGACAGCTGATTATTAAGGCCTTGCCACAAATCTACCTGAGAAACTGAGTCCTGGGGTCCTGCCTAGCAAAAAGTGACTCCTTGGAATTGTCTGAGGTTAGCAGGGAATGGGAGCGACATGCTAAATCCAGGTCACACTCCTGTGGGATTCAGTAGCAGAAAGGAAATCAGATGACTCCGGGCATCAAGAGCTTTTTACCCCCCAACAGAATGTAAATCCAGCAACATCCACCTTTCTCTGTTCTTTGCCCCTCTTTTGCCTACAAGCCTAGTAATGCAGCCCCCTCCCCCTGCTCCAAGAAACCAAGCCTGCTTCACTTTTAGGAAAGGCTCTTATAGCTTCTCATTAAAGTGTGAATGACTAATAAGGCTGGATGCATTAACTCGCTCCAAAGCATCTGCTCTTTAACCAAGAGCAGAGCCTTAAGAAAAAGAATGAAACTTGAATGATGGAAATTTCAGGTATCAGTGAACTGAATATCTTTGGGTGACTCGGGGAGCCCTCTTTGTACCACAGCCCCCCACCAAAGATCACATTATGTAGGTAGCCACTTACTTTATCTAAGTCCCAAAAAGGATCGTGTCTTTTTTTTTGAGACAGAGTCTTACCCTAGGCTGGAGTGCAGTGGTGTGATCTCGACTCACTGTAACCTCTATCTCCCGGGTTCAAGTAATTCTCCTGCCTTAGCCACCCAAATAGCTGGGGTTGCAGGCACACACCACCACACCAAGCTAATTTTTGTATTTTTAGTAGAGACTGGGATTTACCATGTTGACCAGGCTGGTCTTGAACTCCTGACCTCAAGTAATCCACCCACCTTGGCCTCCCAAAGGGCTGGGATTACAGGCATGAACCACCCCACCGGGCCAGGACTGTGTCTTTATTGCCATTTTATTCCCAATGCCCATCATGGTGCCAGGCATACTGTAGGTAGTCAATAAATGTGCAATGCATGATAAATAGCAATGGCAGGAAGAGAGAGAGGCCTGTCCTTTGCCTGTAGCAAATCTGAGGCAGGAGCCAAGTCCTTTCAAACCTTTCACCAACGACTGACTCATCATAATCAATACTAACTGAGCACCTACTGTATGCAGGCCTCTGGCTGGACCACAGGCCCCAAACTGACATGTTCGCTAGTAAATCAGTTGAGCTTCATTCATTCATTCACTCAGTAAGTCATTGCTGAGCACCTGCTGGGTGCTGACCCGGACACCAGAAATGAAGATATCACAGCCTTGGCCCTTAAGGATCTCACCCTGTAGCACCTGAGGACTCCTACAAAGAAGTGCCATAGGCATTTCCCAGGGAAGGGAAGGAAGGCTCAGGTTTCCTAGAGAAAATACACGGCTCAGAGCTTATAGCCTGGGATGATTCAGCAAAAACCTCCCAGGGACTTGAAGGAACAAAAGACTGAGTGGTCACCAGTGCTTCTCCTCCTAGAATTCTTCTCTGGGGCCTACCCCCCAGGCTCATGACTCCCCTGCTAGTTGCTTAGAGCCTCACAAGCCAAACAGAGAGGGAGTCATTTTGCCCATTTCACAGATGAAGAAACTGAGTTATGGGGACCTGCAGCAACTGGGGAACTGCAGTGGGGAACAAGAGGGGCTGGCAGCTCCTGTCTCCAAGCTTTGTCCTCCCTCTTGTGAGTCATACAGCTACACAACTAGCCCAAAGAACTCACCTTCCTCTACCTCACCCTACTTTTGTTTTGGTCAGGGGTGATTTCACTGTTACCATCACCAACATCGCCCCGATTGCGAACATTTGTTGGATATTTACTCCTTGCCAGACTCAGTATAAAGTGATCATTAACTCTTAAAATTCTCACAACTGCATTCTTATTCCCATTTTGTAGATGGGAAAATTGAGGTCCAGAGAGGTGAAGTGACACAATCAGAAAGTGCTAGGATCAAGATCTAACCCTAAGAAATTTATTTCCAGAGCCCATCCTCTTAATCCCTATATCATGCTACCCTAATACACCTAATTGAAGAAACTGAGGCTCAGAGAGATTAAGGGCCTTGTCTGAAGTCACACAGCAAGGAAATGCCAGAGTCAAAATTAGAACTAAGATCTGACCGCCCCCAGAGCCCACACTGCAGCCCCTGGCTGGTTAAGAAGGTAGATAGGTGTGAGGCACAGAAAGAAGGGGGCTATTTCTGCAGTACCTCCTTCACTCTTTCAGCACATCAAGGCTCTCCATCCTGGGTGGCAGCTGAATTATTTAAAATCATCAGCTTCAGCCCACCATGACTGGGTCCCAGAATTATTTTTATCCCAGATTATGGCCACAGCTCTTAACAGAAATAAACCACACTGTTTTCTTCTCATTGGCTTCACATCAATTCCTGGCTTATCTGCAATTACAATCAGCTCCCCACTGAATGAGGGTGAAGGGCAGAAGACAGGTCCATGTGTCATGGTGGTTTTTATTGGAAAGCCATAAACTCTGTAGGACCCATTCACAGAGAGGGAAAGAGTTAAAGCATAATGTCACAGCCTACAAAGAAAGCCCAAGAGCAGCCACCCCAACCAAATGCACATCTTCAGACAAAGCAGCCAGTCTGTGTACGGAGCAATAAGAAGGAGAAAGGCAGAGTAGGCTGGGGGCACTGACTTTCCAGGCTACCCCTGTGGAATCACAGAATCTCTGTCTGCTGCCTCTCTCCTGCCAACAAGAAAGGAAATGTCCACATTTGTCTCCATGGCTAAGCTTCCTGATTACCAGCACGGGCTGGAGAGACACTGCTGAACATCCTTCCTCTGTACCTCAGGCTGGACTGGGGGAGTAGGGGCTGCTGGAGCCAGGAGTGAGGGGATGATGCCTTGGTCTTCATAATGGTGGGTTTATATGTTGCTGCCATAACTTACTGTGTGGTCTTGGGCAAATTGTTTTTCCTCTCTGGGCCCCCCTGGAAAGGGTTAGACTAAATCAGAGGTCCTGAACTTGGGGGGGTGCTCACATGGGCATTATTGAGGATCCACTAACCCCCTGATGTTGTGTGTTTGTGTGTATATGCATCTTTTCAGAGCAGAGCCTCTCCAAGGAGTCCTTGCTGCTACTCCTGAGAAGAGTCTCTTTGGAGCCTTCAAGTGCTGCAAAATCTACATCTCTGTGCATCTGAGGCCATAAATAAAGCAGACCCCTTTCCAGCTGAGCTCAGGATTCTAGAAACCTAGCAAAGTTCTCACAAGAGACTCCCCTATCCCCAATCACCCCAAACAGGGCCTCTCCCCGACACAGGATAAATTCTCAAGCACAGTGCTAACCCTTCCTAGAAATGTGGGCATGTGCAGTCACTCACACTCACACACATACCTATCTCATAGTCAGAGAACCCCAGAACTTGAAGGGGACTTAGGGCCACCCAGACAGACTGCCCCATTGCATAGATGGGGAAGCTGAGGCCCAGAAAGGGGAGACAGCTGGGACTGGAACCCAGGTCTCCTGACCCAAGTCCAAGGCTCTTTCCAGAAGCTTCTCTTTCCCTTTCCCTGGTGCACCACAATGCACCACTTCAAATGTGATGGGGGAGGAGGGAGGGCGGCCTCTTGGATCTTGGCCATCCCTAAGGAAGTGACCCAGTGGAGAGATATTTGGGAAGTGTCCACATCTGGACACCCAAGTATTAGCTATCCCAGCTGGGCTGGCCTGTACTGCATGGCTAAACCAGTTGTTAAAAATATTAAAATAAAATATAAATATTAAAATTAAATGGGGATGCTGCCCTGAGGCCTCGTGGCTCTCTTGATAGCCCCCTAAGATCCCCCCAAACCTCTCCATAATCCAGCAATTAAAAGATTAACACTCAGTACAGCAGGGGCCCCCTAAGATGCCCTATTCCAGGACCCTAGCCATTCTGATCGATTAGTACCAAATTTCAATACTTTAAATATCACCCATAGCCAGATATGTGGTTCTTTTTTTGAACAAAATTTCCACACATTCATTATTCACACTCAAGTCTTCCCAGTGAGGAATCTAAGGCAACTTCCTCCTCAAGGTCACCCAGCAAGAGAAGCTAGGAAGAGAAGTTAGGGATTTTGAGAACCAAATCTTTGACACTAACCACCAGACAACCCTCCTCTTCTGCCTCATATGTCCTGCCTGAGCAGGCACATGCTGTGGGATTTCAGCATCTCTTCTTAGCTATGGGGCTAGAGAAAAAAAGAATGAGTGAACCCTGCTTATATTTCAGGCTTGCCAATCTCTGACTGTTGTTTTATTCCTCCCACCTCCAAGAGCAAGAATCTAAAAAGGAAATCCTTGGGGGTGCAGAACACTGAGGTGGCCCCTGAGATAATAGCAAAAATGCTAAAAACAAGGGCATTCATTTCCAGAAAAGTAGATGTAATCAAAGCAGAAAGCAAAGTGAAATCCCCTTTTGATGGGTAGCAGATTAGCATCAAAAGCATTTCAAAATTAAATGTGAGCTTTTGGATTCAATTTCAAGGTACTTCCACTTCCCACTCACTAACAGGTTGGTGCAGCCTTTCCCCATCAGGATCTTGGAAAAAGAAACTAGTGCAGGGGGACGGTCTACCCTGGAACAAAACTGAAGCTGAAGCCTGGAATCTTTCCCCAGAATTTGAACAAGCTTTGTTCCCCTCCTTCCTTCTGAGATGAACTCAAGGATAGAATCTCCCAAGCTAGTGCCAGGACGCTCCCCCATACAATCACTTACAGGTTACGCCACCTGTGAAAATAAAACATCATCTCCTCTGCAGGCAGTGGCTGCTCCCTTCTGGCCAGCCTGACCACTCATCCCAGGCATAGTGTGGCCCTTTCCTGGCTCCCAGGTCTTCCATCTCAGGAAAGCGTGAACAGCCAACCTCGCAAAAATCACCACAATTAAATTACTCAGCTGTTCCTAGAAGAGGGTACAATCTAAGCTCTGTCCTGTGCAAATCTTACCCAGTGTGCCCAGGCAAAAGTTACCCTTCCAGTCTCAGGTGACCCCCTCCCCTCCAGGGATAAGCACTCACTTGCTAAGTCAGAGTACCCAGAGTCCCTCCATGCTAGACTAGCCAGCCCCACGAAGGGTTAACTCTCTCAGAGAACTGCCGGCTACTTTCACCAGCTTCTGCTGCAAAGGAGAGGGCAAATTGGGCAGAAGCCACAATCTTGATCGCATTGCCTACAACATGAGCACATTTTACCCCCTCCCTGGGCACTAAGCCAAAATCTCATTTGGCTTTGGGATGCCGCTTAGGTGATAAAACACTGCAGGATGTAGGCAAATAAGCATAGTCGTTCCTCGATACCCTTCTCCTCCCAACTACCCTTTACCCCACCAGCTCATGAACACACATCACAATTGGGATTCCAACACCCCTAGCCCATCTGCACAACCCGGGAGAATATCACTTACCGCGACGCTGGAGGCTTGCAGGGGGAATGGGTGAGCCAAATTCTTGCCAACTCCTCCCTTCCCTGCCGGGTAGAAAGACGCTAAGTCCCAATGACTTGGTTTAAAAGCTCAGCGGAGGTGCCTGAAAGAAAATTGTTCATTTGACTCTCCTACTCTTCCCAAAATAAAATCAAAGCACCAGTGCACACACGTAGACACACAGACACATCAACTACCCCTAAATCATGCAGGACCAAGACAAAAAGAAATACCACTGCCAGAAGCGGAGAAAACTCGGACCAGCCAGTGAGTCAGTGGACAAGGGACAGTGGCTCCCTCAGACTGTCCTCCACATGGATGAAGGTTTTAGCTCTGTGAGTCTCTCTCTCTCTCTCTCTCTCTCTCTCTCTCTCTCTCCCTTCTCCCTTCCTTTCCAGTCCGCGTAGGCAACTCCGGGCTGCTGGCAGTAGACGAATCAATTGCTTCCCCAGAGCCAGTTTCTGCCGCGGCTGCCACCACTACTGCAAAGCCCTGTGTGAGCAAGGGAAGCGGGGCGGCAGCTTCCCAGTGCAGGGGGAACCAAGCGGGAACCAAGCCTGCCTCCCACCCGTGATTTATGTGTGCGGTGCCTGGAGAAAGAAAGGTGGGAGGCCGGGAGGGGAGGTTGGGCGCACCAGAGATCCCAGCTGGTCGAAACGGCAACCAGGGGATTGGCGGTCAGCACCACGGACAGCGCTAAGATGCCTTGGAGGAGGGGATGGGTGGGAAGCGAACCCCTAGGCAGAGAAGTTAAGTAATTGGATGGTTAAAGCAGAGAAGGGGGGAGTCCGGAGGGGTGGGGGACGGGACTTCTCGACATCACACAGTCTAGTCAGTGACAGCTTACCTACCACACACTTTTTCTAATACTGTCGCTCACTCTCAGAGCAAAGGAACTATAACTTCACAGCCCCTGTCTCCCACACGCCCCCAGTCCTGCATTGCTCCTCTCTGCTCAGACAAGAGCTTGGCACCGGTGTGGGGGGCTCCCTAAGTGGTTTTGCCCCTCAAAGTTTCGCCCAGATGACCTGTCCTCACCCCCATTGCTGCAGATTTTTGACCTGTACCTGGAGTTTCTCAGAATTCAGAGCAGAAAAGCTGAGGCTTAAGAAATGGAAATTTCTAAGGGGCAGGGTGGCTTAGTTGAATAAGCACTTGATGGTTTTCTGGAAGTCAGATCCAGCCCCCTTACAACTCTGGAAAAGTCATTTAATGTTTCCAAGTCCCATCTGTGAAAATGATAACATAATGACCTTATTTTTCCTAAAGATAGGAAGCAAGAGGTTAAAATGCAACAATAAGAATACCCAAGCTGTGAACTGCCATGATTTCATGGTCCATAACCTGTCCTAAAACACAAATGTTTGGACAGAGTGATAAAGGAATTGACAGCCCAGCTAGGATGGCATGTGCCAACCTCACCCTTCAGCAGGTGGTTTGAGTAGAATGAAGGGAAATTTTAGGTCTAAATCAGACCATTGAGCCTTGGCCAAAGAGCCTTCCCCGAAAGATCCAGACTGGCTTTCTGAAGTGAATTCACTATATGGACAATGAAATAAAAGTATCAAAAGGGGAAATATATAAAGATGAATGGATTCCCATGGCTCCCAGTGCTCCATATCTCAAGAGTCCTATTCCTCCTAACTTTGGGAAAGGGCTCAAATTGGAAAAAGGCCAGGAAATCTCAAACAGACCAAGATCTGCTTAGAACTTCTCTGCAAAGTGAAGGAGAACTCTCTCTATTGGAGACTCATATCTAAAGCTTCCCATCCAGATGGCCCAGGGTTAACTACTACATTTGTCACTTACTTCTCCCCATGAGACCCAGGAGTTAAAATGAGAACATTTAGAGCTCATTTAAAAAACAATTTTTTAAAGACAGTGTCTCTGCCAGGCGCGGTGGCTCATGCCTGTAATCCCAGCACTTTGGGAGGCCGAGGCAGGTGGATTACCTAAGGTCAGGAGTTCGAGATCAGCCTGGCCAACATGGTGAAACCCCATCTCTACTAAAAATACAAAAAAATAGCTGGGCATGGTGGTGTGCACCTGTAATCCCAGCTACTCGGGAGGTGGAGGCAGGAGAATCACATGAACCTGGAAGGCAGAGGCTGCAGTGAGCCGAGGTTGCACCATTACACTCCAACCTGGGCAACGAGAGTGAAACTCCATCTCAAAAAAAAAAAGAAAAAGACAGTGTCTCACTCTGTCACCCAAGCTGGAGCGCAGTGGTGCAATCATAGCTCACTGAAACCTTGAACTCCTGGGCTTAAGTGATCCTCCCACCCCAGCCTGTCCAGTAGCTAGGACTCAAGGTGCACACGAATATACCCTGCTAATTTTTTTTTTTTTTTTTTTTTTGCAGAGATGGGTCTCACTATATTGCCCCAGCTGGTCTTGAACTCCTCGCCTCAAATGAACCACCTGCCTCAGTGGTGGTGGTGGTGGTGGTGGTAGTAATTGTCATCATGATGGTAATCATAGTGATGATTATAGTGATGGTGTTGATTGACAATGATTATGCTGATGATGTTGATGGTGATGATTATGGTGGTGGTGGTGGTGGTGGCAATGATGGCTGCTATTGAAAACCTACTATGTGCCAGCTCTTCTGCTAGGAACTTTACATGTATCATCTTCTGAAGTCCTCACCATGACCCTTTCAGGACACTAGTATTATTCCCATCTTGCAAATGAGAAAACTTAGACTCAAGAAATAAAATTCCTTGCTCAAGGCTTCACAGTAAGTTACAGACACAGCATTCAAACTCAGTGTCGTATGATTCCAAAGAACATGCTCCAGGATGTCTCTCAGAGTTCATTTCAAATGCATTCTACAAGTTTGAGGGGAAAATTTTCATCGAATATTTTCTGGGATGATCCTGTGACATAAATTCAGTGTCCTCAATTTACAGATGGAGAAACTCGGGACCAGAGACGAGAATTGACTTGTCCATAATCAAAGAGCTAGGAAGTAGCAGAGTTGAGTATAGAATGCAAGCCTTTCAGATGCCAGGACCTGTGGTCTATTGCCTAGGGCAGTCCCAGGCACATAGGAAACCCTCAATAAACAATATCGTTTGTTTTATTTGAGACAGAGTCTTGCTCTGTCACACAGGCTGGAGTGCAGTGGTGAGATCTCGCCTAACCGCAACCTCCACCTCCTGGATTCAAGACGTTCTCATGCCTCAACCATGCAAATAGCTGGGACTACAGGTATGCGCCCCACGCCTGGCTAATTTTTGTATTTTTAGTAGAGACGGGGTTTCGCCATGTTGGTCAGGCTGGTCTCGAACTCCTGACCTCAAGCGACCTGCCCACGTCGACCTCCCAAAGTGCTGGGATTACAGGTGTGAGCCACCACACCTGGCTGCCTCAATAAACATTTGAAGAGTGATTCAAGAAGCCCAGGGAGAAATGAAAGTCATTTAGGATGCTGGTGGTGGAATCAGAACCCAAGTAGTTCCCAGGCCTCTTGGCTTCCAATCCCAAAGAATTTCTCACAGCTTCCCCAGCCATTAGGCATGTATTCTGGGAGGGCCTCTCATGAATTCAGCTCTCCCTTAGGGAATGACAATAGCTACCACCTGCTGCATACCTAGACACTTGCCATGTGTCACGCATTGTACTAAGCACTTTACAGTGATTATCCCCACACTTCACAGCTACCTGAAGTGGGTGCTATTACTGCCCCATTTGCAGACAAGAAGCAGACAGATGATGTGAAGCCCCCAAACTCACACAACCAGGGAGCAGCAGAGGCAGGGATGCAAATCTCAGGTCTGTCTGACTCCAAAGCCTGTGTTTTCATGACCCTGTCAGTTTTTCCTAAACCAGGCCCCCTAGAGGCCCCTGTGGAAATGAAAAGAGGCCTCAACTGACCCTCCACTCTGGTTTCAACTAGAACAGTTAGTGGTGCTTTTAACTGTTTTGCATACTGGGCATCTGCCCAAGCCTTCATTGAAACAAGGATTTTGCACCAAAATTAAAAAATAATAATATGGTTGAAACCTGAGCTCTCCACCCTCTCTGGTCACCATGCCATCTAGGAACTAGCCTTGTCTTGTCAGGGGACCTTGCCCCATCCTGCCCACCTCCCTGGTCACCACTGCCAAACCCCTCTTCTGTCCCGGGTGCTTCTGGAGAACCCTTTGTTCAAAGAACCAGCTGCTGCTGTAAACTCCACCAGCCTGTGGCACTGCAGCAGGGAGACACCTCAAAACCCAGACTTCTCAAGGCTGAGCCCGGCCAGGGTCTGACTCTCTCGAGGCTTCATTCAATGATAGAACATTGCGAAGATTCCTCAGGCCGCAATTCAGCAAGCTGCCTTGCTCTACCCTTGTTTTATGGAGCAGAGGCAGCCCAGTAAGACTTTCCATCACCCCAAAGAGGATGGGAAATGATGAAGGTAGTAATAGCTACAGCAACAAATGCTACCCACTACCTCCTGCACAATTTGTATATGTGCAGCGGCATCATCTCATCCTCCCAACAATCCCATTTCAGGATGATAATGGTTTCATTTCTGTTCTATGAAACTGAGACTCCTAAAGCAACTAGCCTGAGGCCATTGAGTTCATAAGTGGTGAGACTGGAATTTGAACCAAGACCCTGTGAATTTATGATCATTATGCTATCTGGCATTCCTAATTCCTAATCATCTCTCCTTTTGCAGGGGGCAGGTGCTTACTATTTACCAGGTGCCATGCTTTATCTCCCCAGCACTATTCATGACTGACAACAGTGAAAGGAGGTTGTGTTGTGCTATTTACCCATTTTCAAGATGAGGAAATCAGACATGGAGAGCTCAAGTGACTTGCCCAAGATAACACAGCCAGGAAGAGGGGGAGAATGGGGTGTGAATCTGAACAGTTTATCTCAAGGTCCTCTGTGCTTTTCTGTCTCCCAAGGAAATGGGCACTGAGATAGCCCATTTCACTTAGCAAGTGTGGTAGGCAAAATAATGGCCCCAAAAGATGTCCACATTTTCATCCCCAAAAGGGGTTAATAGATTACCTTAAGTGGCAAGTGGGACTTTGCAAGTGTGATGAAGTTGAGGATCTTGAGGTGGGGAGATTATCCTGGGCTATTTGGGTGAATCCAATGTAATCACAAGGGTCCTTATAGGAGGGAGGCTGGAGGGCCAGAGTCAGAGAGGAAAGGTGTGGATGGAAGTATAGGGGGAGAGAGAGAAAGAGAGGTAGGGAGAGGTATGAAGATGCTTTGTTACTGGTCTTGAAGATGGTGGAAGAAGCTACCAGGTAAGGAATGTGGGCAGGCTCTAGAAAATGGAAAAGGTGAGGAAAAGAGTCTCCCTGAGAGCCTCCAGAAGGAACACAACCCCACTGCTGACACCTTGGTTAAAGGAATTCTGACCTCCAGGACTGTAAGATAATTAATCTATGTTGTCTTCAGCCACAGAGTTTGTGGTTATTTGTTACAGCAGCATAGGAAACCAATATAGCAAGTCTGCCAGGGGACCCTACATTAAGAAGCCCATAGCAAATCGGCTTTAGGAATCATGACTGAGCTCCCTCTTAGACAAAGAACCCAGTGCTTCAATCATACTACAACCTGTTCTGAACAATACCATGTGTGTGCCCTACAAGAGAAAGGAAACATGCTCAAAGCTTTAGCCTGAACACTGGGCTTTGTCGCTGGATGACACTGCTAGGGCGTCCATGCCTTCCTCACTCCCTCCTCCTTCTCCTTTAAGAGCCTCCAGGGAAATGCTACTGTCAGGGACACAAAAGGGAAGAAATGTCACAGGGCAGCTTTCCAGGAGCACAACTCATCACAGGGAATCGGTCAAAGATAGAACAAGTAAACGAAACAGAGAGATTGGCGTGCAAGAGAAAGAGAAAGAACACGAGACAGAGAGAGAAAGGATTGCTGGGTCCCTGAGATCGGCCTATGTGCACTGACAAATCCCTTCCCACAAGGAAAAGGGCAGTCGTGGGGAAGCCCACTAACCTCCTTAGGAAAAGACACAGTAGGACTTGGCGAAGCAAGCTTTCAAGACAAGTCAACAAGTTTTATTTATTAATCAGTCAATTCCACGTTACCAGGCAAGGCTCTGCCAGGGGAAGGGAACTTGGACTTGCCTTCTCTGATACTTGGAGTTTGATTTCAGCTCCCTACTTCCCAGTTTGGGACCTTGGCATGTCACTGGCATGCTCCGAACCTCAGTCTCCTCAGCTATAAAATGGGACCACCATACCTTCCCCGCTCATCTCCTGAAGCAGCCAGGATGTTTCACTGAGCTAATGAATAGCAATGAGTTTCGTATACTCTAAATGATGAATAACAGCTACCATTTACTAAGTTTCTACTGTGTGCTTATCCAGACTCCTATCCTCAAGGAATGCAGTGAAAACGTCCAGCCCAAAGTGACCATAAGTAAGAGGAAAAGGACAGCAACAGCAGAGACGGCATAATGAAATTGTTAAGAGGCCAGGTTCTAGAGCTAGGCTGCCAGTGTTCAAATCTGACTCTACCACATGCAAACTGTGTGACCTTGAGGAAGTTACTAAACCTCCCTTTGCCTCAGGTTCTCTGTCTGCAAAGCAAATGATAGCACTTCCTTATATGGTTGTTGTTAGGATCACATTAGCTAACATACGTTAAAGCACTTAGAGCAGAGCCCGGCACATAGGCAGCCCCATGTCTGTCATCTTTATTCATTATCATGGCCATTGTGATTATTATTTATCATGGAAGAGAGGTATCTTCCAATGAGTGATACACATTGTGCTGAGATCCAAAAGATGAAGTTAGGTATTCTAAGGATGTTTATTTTTTCAGTGTTTAGATGTTACATTTTTACTTTAAAGCACATTAGAAAATTATTATATTCCCACTTACAGCAGTGACTTAATGTCATTTCCATCACCTCCATAGCATTATCTGCCCTGAAATCTGAAAATCAGTCAGTCCTGAAATCATTCCTCTGGGTATGCTAGGTTTGCCTAACTATGCTCTGCCAACCACCATGCAGCTGTATCTTTTTTTTTTTTTTCTTTTTTGAGATGGGAGTTTCGCTTTTGTTGTCCAGGCTGGAGTTCAATGGCGCAATCTCGGCTCACTGCAAACTCCGCCTCCTGGGTTCAAGTGATTCTCCTGCCTCAGCCTCCCAAGTAGCTGGGATTAGAGGCATGCACCACCATGCCTGACTAATTTTGTATTTTTAGTAGAGACGGGGTTTCTCCATGTTGGTCAGGTTGGTCTCGAACTCCCGACCTCAGGTGATCCACCCGCCTCTGCCTCCCAAAGTGCTGGGATTATAGGCGTGAGCCACCACACCCAGCCACAGCTGTATCTCTTAAGGCCAGCTTCCCAGTTAAGCCAGTGAGTACCAAAACACAATCTTAGGCCAAAAGAATAAAGTAAGCATGTAGAACCTTTCGTCTCCCAAGTCCTCTCCAGAATCTGAATCTGTTTCTAGCCTGTAACAAATAAACAGCTGACACTTATTGAAGGCTGACTGCATTTTCCTCATCTGAACTCCTACAACAGAACCTCACCTTCTCCCTGTGTCCACCCTACATTATAACTGGCTCCCCCATCAGACTGGACATTCCAAGAACACAGCTCAGTCTTGTGTATTTCTGAGTTCTCACGGCCCAGAACAAATCTGATGCCTGGTCAATGTCGAATAAATAAATTATTCTTAGAACTTTTGATGCTTGTATCTTTTGTCTTCCTGGAATCTCATAAAACTTACTGGCATCTCACCATCCCAAATTGCATGTTTAGTTACCATAAATGAGATACGACCATAGTTCACGGGGTTCTGCAAGGAACCCTGTATCTTCAAGATGCTGCTGTCTTTGAACAATTTTAGGGGAACCTGGGATAGATCATCACCTCAGAAGAGCAATACTGGAGTGGCTGCTGCAGGGAGAGGGCTGAATAAGAGGGGAGAGGCTGGAAAACCTGCCTGGGGGTGAGGTTGGACCTGAGCTGGACTGAATTTGAACAAGTGAAAAGAAGAGTAAGGAACAGCAGCTTGAGGAGAAAGTTCAGATGTCTTTATGACCAGTAAGGTATTAAGGATGAAGGGGGCTGATATTTGCTGGAAGATTCTACATTTTCTACCCACCGCCACCCCAGCTTTATTGAATCTACATTTTCAAAAGGAGCTTTAAGCTCTGATGGAAAATGAATGAATTCATAAAGGAGTGACCCCAGGCAGTGTGATTGGAGATGGGGAAGTCAAGAGAGAGAGATCTATTTCCAGATAGGTCTTTCAAAGCACTCCTCCAAGAAGATCCTCTCAAGCCCCTAGTTTGCTTTTCCCTGGAAATGAATAAATCAGATTCCTCATCTCTGCTGTGGACATATAACTGTCAAAACCTCCTAGAAATAAGCTAGTATAAAGGAGGGAGCAGAGGAAATGCTGGCTTCCCATTTAGTGGCTAAGACACTCACCAAGCACCTAGCAGAATAATTGAGAGGGAGCTGGCTTTGAGTCCCACGTTTTCCACTCACTGGTTGTGTGAGCTTGGGTGAGTCACTTTACCTCGCTGTGCCTTAGCCTCATTGTCTGTAAAATGAGGATACTAATAATAATATGTACAACATGTGTTTCTTGGAATTATTCAATGAGATAAAATATATAAAGGGCTTGGCACATAGTAGGTGCCCAACACATTAGCTACTACTATATTATTACCTTCACTTTGTTCATTTTTTATTGTTATCCTATGTCAGATGCTGGAGATACCAAAATGACTAAGACTCCACCCTTCCAAGCTACCGGCCAGTGGAGATATAGAAAAACGTGACAGGAGTGTGACAAGTGTGGCAAGAGTTATAAAAGGGATGTGGGAGGCAGAGCATAGAGAATGTTTATTTCTATTATGCATGTGAGGTGGGAAGGAAGAGATTGGATCAGTTACCTCCACGGGAGACCAGGGAAGTGGGGTAGGGGGTGGGGCAATGCCATGTAACCAGTCTCTCAATGCCCTGGGCACCTCTTCTTCCCTACTCCAGCACTGACTCCAACATCTGGGGAGTTTCTCTCCTCCAAGGAGATTTCTCAGCCTCACACTTACGTAATCCTAACGTGACACGACAGATATCCAGCAGGCTTGAAGAATGGAGAGACGAGCTCACCCCACGATTCCCACTTGGCCAAGCAGGGAAGGCAGTGACAAGTGCTACAGAAATGGTGAGAGCCCATCTCTCAGGCAGCAGATTAGCAAGCAGATGAGCTGACAGGCAGGTGGCAAGGGAAACTGGCACAGCCTCTCTAGAAGGTGATCTAACACTGTGTGTCCAAAATCTTAAGACATTACACATACCTACTGTGTGACCCATGAGACTCTGTCCAGGAATTTAACCTAAGGAAATAATTAGATGTACGTGCAGAGATGATCATCACAGAATCACTTACAACAATGACAAATTGGAAACAAGCTAAGTGTCTGACAACAGGGGGTCATTTAAATAAATAGTGGCACATCCCATACCAGGGGAAGTGAAGCAGCTCCACACCAGAATAGTCTTGGTATATCCATGAAAAGCTGTAATCTCTTTATTAAAAGGAAAATAAGGAGAAATAGAAAAGATGACTCCATTCATAAATACAGTCCCTGGGAAGAGAGAAATACTGAAAAGTCCCTTCCACGTGCATTTCCTATTCTTTCTTCAAGATCCTGGTCAGTCACTCATCTATTCACTCAACAAGCATATGCTGAGGACTGATTTATGCCAGGTGCTAAGAATACAGAAAGACGGAAAAGGGATACCATCCCTGTTCTTGCCAAGCTTAGAGACCAAAAGGTCACTTCCTCCAAGGAGACCTCCCTGATTACACCAGTCCAGATTGAAGCTCCTCTTTTCTGATTCCTGGTAGTCTCCCCAGAGTTTGTGAAGGATGATAACAACAAATTCCCAAGACTTCAGCTAAGTTCTTTACATTCAGGATATTGTTTAATACTCAGAGTTACCCTGGAAAATAGATCCTAAAATTAATCCCCATTTCTCAGATGAGAAGACTGAGCCTCATGCATTAGCAGGTAATCAAGCAGGGGCTTAGCTCACATTTGTCTGATGTCAGAGCCCATGCTCTTAAGCATTGCGTTGTATTGAATAAATGCTGAAGGGCCTGCATGGGACAGGAACAGAGTATCTGTCCACTCTCCCCAGGACCCATCCCGAACTGCTCCCAATATGGTTGGATCCTCCTCTTCTCTGCCCCCATTGCACATAATTCAGCTTCCATAATAGCCTGTATCCTTCCATCATGATCCCCAGCGTGGGAAAGTGGGAGAGACAACTGACCACCCTGAATTGCATGTTTAGTTATCAGCAATGGAATATGTCAGTAACTAAGGGATTCTGCAAGAAACTCCATGTTTTCTAGATGCTTCTCTCTTTGAACAGGAAGACCTGGACTAGATCATCATCCTAGAAGATCAATGCCAGAATTGCTGGCTATAGCGATTCCTTGAGGACAGAAGCCATGTCTTTCTTGTGTATCTAACATGATAGCCTGGCACAGAATAAATACCAAATAAATAGTTGATGAATGAACGAATGATTGAGTGAATGAATGAATGAATGGATGAAAAGGGCACCATTTTATGAGCCATTTATTTCCTGGGTGAGAGGTTCTTACTCTGGGCCAACGCCAATAGCTCACTGATCCTCCACCAATACCACCACACCCAGGAAACTACAAAGAAACTGAATAGAGAGAAATTCAGGCCCCCCATTCACCCAGGGGCTCTCTCATGGTCCCGAACCACACAGAAGAGGAGGCTTGGGCAAAAAAATGGGAAGTGATGGTTGCAGGGAGGAGATCAGCTGCAAGTCTTCTGCCCCAGAGCTGATGGTTCTAAAGTCGCAGCCACGTGGAACAGTCGTGTTCAATCAGACGACAAACCCAAGAACCTCTTGCGAGCCCTTTCCAGCAAAGTAAATGAACAGAGAGAAAATCCCAAGGGACACAAGTCTGGCTGCACTTGGAAATGCCTGTTGGTTTTCCAAGGGAACCAGGTAAGTTCCAGAGGATATTTTTTTTTGTTTTGTTGTTGTTGTTGTTGTTGTTTTGGTTTTTTTGTTTGTTTTGTTTTGTTTTTTTGAGATGGAGTCTCACTCTGTAGCCCAGGCTGGAGTGCAATGGCATGATCTGGGCTCACTACAACCTCCTTCTCCTGGGTTCAAACGATTCTCCTGCCTCAGCCTCCCCAGTAGCTGGGACTACAGGCATGTGCCACCAGGCCTGGCTTATTTATTGATTTATTTTAATAGTAGAGACAGGGTTTCACCATGTTGGCCAGGCTGGTCTCAAACTCTTGACCTCAGGTGATCCACCCGCCTCAGCCTCCCAAAGTGCTGGGATTTCAGCTTGAGCCACCATGCCCGGCTACCAGAGGATAATTTCATAGGAAGTTTCATGTCATTCTTAAGTCAGTCTTTCAGGGTATCAAAACACAAAATCGCGTCTCCTTGTTGGCCATTCTGATACCCGCATAGGGAGCTGCAGGGAAAGGAAGCAGAGGTTCTGAGACACTCCATCTTCATTGGTAAAATGGAAGAAGAGTGTCTACCTGTCTAGATGTTTGTAAGGATAAAACAGGATTAAAACACATGAAACGGCCCATATGGAGCTCAGCAAATAGCATGTGTTCAACAAATGCCTGTTGAATCTGAAGGTAATAAAAATCGTCATGAAAATGCCAATGTTATCTGGAAGAAATACTCCTTTCTAGTTTGCAAGATTACGTTTATCGGCTTATCCCTAACAGGTGAAAGAGATTTGAGAGAATGGATACAGGACAGGTAAGTTTTGAAGGAAGAAGAGAAAACCTAGGGGACATGAGATGTTTTCACAAAAATGAGGCCTCCAGAGGGAAAGAACAGGCACTGGGGCCTCCAAAAGCAGGGAGGGTGGGAGGGGCGAGGATTGAAAAATTACCCATGGGGTACAGTTTTTACTATTTGGGTGATGGCTACACTAGAAGCCCAAACCTAACCATAATGCAATACATCCATGTAACAAACCTGCCCATGTACCCCCTCAATCAATAAAATTTTTTAAAGATGAGGCCAACATGAGCCCCCAAAAGAGAGGCATTATGAGAGTGCTGGTTACATAAAGGGGAGAAAAGGAAGAACAGACAAGGAATATAGAAAGAGATACTGAAGGAAAATTTTGCCATTTTCACTGAAGACCTCAGCAGGGCCGTGTTCGCTCTGAAGACTCTGGGGACGAATCTGTTCCAGGCCAATCTCCCAGCTTCTGGCAGTGGCCGACAGTCCTTGCAGTTTCTTGGCTTGTGGCTGCTTCACTCCAATCACTGCCTCCATCACCCCATGGCCTTCTTCCCTCTGTCTCTTTTATGTCTGTGTCCATTTCTCTCTTCGTATGATGACACCAATCATATTGGATTTAGGGCTCATCCTAATCCAGGATGACCTCACCTTAACCTGAGTGTTTATATCTGCAAGGACTCTATTTCTAAATAAGGTCACATTCTGAGGTTCTGGGTAGACATGGATTTTAGGGGGACATTATTCAACCCTCCATACAGTGGAGGTGTGATGGGTATGGAGATGGTGGTCAGAGTGTGAGTCTACTTCTTCACTAACTAGCAAAGCCGCCTTGGATAAATCATAATCAGCCCTACCTCACCTTCTCCATCTGTACAATGGAAGGGGGTGATGATCATATTATTAAACTAAGCTGACAGCTACAAAAACACTTTTTAATCTATATGATACTGTATGAATATGAGTTATTATATAGTGGCCATGAGAAAGTACTTTGCAGACCCGCAGCTACAGGAAGCTTAATTGACTGAAGGCCCCAGCTGCTGCACTCTCAAATCCATCAGTGCAAATGAGGCCATGCTTCCCATGGGCAGCTCCCAGCCAATAATGGAATGCTGCAGGGATACTAAAACTGGCCTGTCCCTGGGAGACATGGGACTCCTCCGACAGAGACTTTGGCTGGAGGACTCCTCGACACCTTGCTGAAGCGCCTTTAGGCTGCATGAGAGTCTAGGACACTCGCTCCCAGCCTTCTTTCCCTCTCCCCTTCACTTGGGGGTCCAGTGGCTCCTTATGCCTTCTCTGGCCACCTCCCTATTTTCTCCCATCAGCCTTTCTCCTAATCAAATCCTAGCACATCTATTCCTGTCTTGGTGTCTGTTTCCTGGAGGACCCAGACTAGCACATTCTCCCAAAGACTTTCTGCTACCTTTGCCAGGTAAGCATGCATTCCCTGTTCCTGATTGTCCTTCTGGTAAACCACCTCTTCCCCACAGTCAGTCCTTTCAGGTGGAGGTTTGGGTGGAGCTGATGCCTCCCTATACTCCAGGAGTTAGCACATGTCCATGCCTAATTAATTCATCTATCTCATCCCCTGGCCACAATGATTAGTGCAAAGAAGTGCATGTGGCTCAATGCAAGCCAATGAGATTCCTATCTGAAACTTTTGCAGGCATTCTTAGGAAAGAGGCATATCATTTTCATCAGGGTTGCTAAGTTGCTACAATGTAAGCCTGGGGCTGCCAAGAGGCTTCTTTGTATCCTCCAGCCTGAAGTTGACGCCTATGCAAAAGAGAGAGAGCAATGTAAGAAACTGATTCCTGACGCCATTATATGAGCACCTGAATCCAGCCATGCCTGAAGCCCCCACACTTTTCCATAATGTAAAACAAAACGTTCCCCTGCCTTTTGTTGTTGTTGTTTTGCTTTGCTTTAGCCTATTCAAATTGTGTTCCAACTAAAAAAAATTAAATTCATACATTTCCTGACATTATTCTTCAAAGTGATGGCCAGAGAATGAGATTATGGCTTCTGGAACTACAAAGTCAAGTAAACATCGAGGATGGGCAAAATGGATTCTTTTAATTCTATGTGTGAACTACTTTCAGGGTGTCAGAAGGATTAAAGAGAAAAAAGAAACAACTAAAGAAGCATCAGTGGGAGCCAGTTTGGCTTTAGGCTGCTTTTTAAAGAAAGCCTCTCCATAATTAGGATTTCCAAATATAATCTCTCTCTCATTTGACAGAACCCAATACCTAGATAGCTACTTCTAAAAATAAGGGAAACTAAAATCTGTTTTTTGATGAATCACTAACACATTTCATCTCTGGCTCTTCTTGTGTTTGGGGATGGAACTCAGAAGAAGGTGTTTCCCTTCTTTTAAAAAAATTAAGATTGGTGGGAATTTCTGTCAATAAATTTGTTACGCTCTTCTCCCCAAATGTGAATTCTTTCTGTAAATGCTGGTGCCTCCCATATGGAAGAGAAGCTGATGTCAGGCCTATGCATTCACCACTGTTGAGGTTTATCCTACATGACAAAAAGCATTTTGGAGATTCTTTCCTTGTCAATAAACAGAAGCTCCAACAAAGCCAAGGCCCAGCACTACCTTTTATCCTAGCTCAGCCAAAAAAGCAGCCATCCTGCTGCGGTATTGTGAGCAAGACTATAGAATTTAGCAAAATTGCAGCCTGTGCTGCATTTCTGACTCAAGCCTCAATCTCTCTCCTTTGGAAGTAAAAATAAACAATATCCTATTCATGTTCAGCTGCTAGCATCATTAATTAACATAAGGAAACCAACTTCACTAGGCAATTAACTACCCTTTCTTGAGTAAATGCAGATGGCAAACAGAGGTCCTGTCTCATGTCAGGACCCTTCAGCCCCTACTTCAGAGGTATCTCCATCTCTGGCACAGTTTTGATGGCAAAAAGCAGAGGCACCTACGTGTTCTTTAAATAGATCGCTGCCTTGCTGCCTTGACAGCTAATGGCCAAAGGAGGCTAACACACAGTGGCGTCTGCATTCACAAAATCAAGGAAGTTTTCTATCAACAGACTTGCTCTTTTATTAAGAGGAAAAACAATAAGGCATGCAGAAGCAGAAGCTACTAGGGGATTTGAACCTCTGAACTGCATTGAGCAGATGCACAGGGATGAGGAGGACCCAAATTAATAATAATATTAACACTGATGATCACAACAGCAGCAGCAGCAAGGGCTAATATTTGCTGAGTGCCTCCTGTAAACCTGACTCGAAATCACTGCTTTATATGCATGATCCAACTGAATTCTCACAATAACTCTAAGAAGTAGGTGCTAATATTATCTCTGCATAAATAGATGAGTGTGGTAGATTGGTTGCAAAAATGGCCTTAATTCTTCCTTTCCCTGTACCCATGCCCCTTGCAACGTGACTTCACATTGCAATGTAATTTTGTAGCTCTGCCCATCAAGAGATGGAGTTAACTTCTCCACCCTTTGAACTGAATTTGACCTGTGCTTCCTTTGGCCAATAGAGTGCTATGAGCCTAGACTTTAAGAGGCCTTGCACTTTCTTTTTTTTTTTTTTTTTTTTTTTTTTTTTTTTTTTTTTGAGATGGAGTCTCACTCTGTCGCCCAGGCTGGAGTACAGTGGCATGATCTCGGCTCACTGCAAGCTCCATCTCCCAGGTTCACACCATTCTCCTGCCTCAGCCTCCCGAGTAGCTGAGACTACAGGCGCCCACCACCACGCCCAGCTAATTTTTTGTATTTTCAGTAGAGACGGGGTTTCACCATGTTAGCCAGGATGGTCTTGACCTCCTAACCTTGTGATCCTCCCACCTCAGCCTCCCAAAGTGCTGGGATTACAGGCGTGAGCCATTGTGCCCAGCCGGCTTTGCACTTTCTCTTTCTTTCTCTTTCTCTCTCTCTCTCATCCCTGCCTCTACCATAACAATAAATCCAAGCTAGCCTGCTGGAAGATGAGAAGCCACATAAGATAGAACCAAGGCTTCCTAACCAGGGCCATCTTAGACCAGCCAGTTCCCAGAGACTCACCAACCTATCATCAAGCTGAGCAAGATAGCCAAGTTCCTCCCAGATCAGCATGACTGCCCAGCCAACCTATAGACTAGTGAGCAATAAGAGCGTGTTTATTGTTATAAGCTATGGGGGGGTTTTTTGTAGTGGTTTCTTACACAGCACTATTGTAGCAATAGATAACTGATACAATGAGGAAACTAAGTCATAGAGAAATTAAAGTGACTTCTTAGCAGACTTCTTCACTCATAGTAGATATTCAATAAATATTAGTTAAATGAGTAAATGAATGATTAAATGATTTGGAAACCAAGTCCAGGTCTGTCTGACACCACGGTCTGGGCATTTGACCAATAAGCTATACCAGAATGTACATTTCTAACCTATGCCAGTTTCTTCCCTTTTAAAAACCACCCAGCACAGTACCTGACTCAATAAATCCTCTTTCCTTTCATTTCTCCCTCACCCCTGACTTCTACTCAGTCAATTTAACATAATCCCTGCTTTAGTATAAAGTCCCCAGAGAAAGGGGGAAATGTAAGTAGAGATAAAAGATGTGTTTGACACAATTATAATCTACCCCTGGAAAAGGACCATGTTTCTTTGCAACCTTTCTCTGTATTTTATGTGTTAGCTATAGCTGGATTTCCCCCTACCACCACTGCCCCATTTTTTATCTTTATCTTTTAGCTGGTGAGTTTAGACCATTTGCATCTATGATTACTGCTATATTTGAAGTTCATTCTGTCATCTGATTTTGTATTTTCTGTTTACTCTGCCTTGTCCATGGTTCCCTCCCCTGCCTTTCCTGTCTTCTATTTCTCCCACTGCTAGTTTAGAAGTTATATTCTTTTCCTATTCTTTCAGAACTTACCTTCTATTTTTAATATGCTTATGTGACTTAATCTAAAATGAATCAATTTCTGTACCCTCATCCAAGACAATATAAAGGTCTTAGAGTAGTTGAATTCTAATCTCTCTCTACTGACATACACATCTAGCACTGTCTTTCTATATCCCTCAAAGTAGTCATCCCTGGATTCCCAGGACCTAACACAGTGCCTGGCACATGGTACATGCACAGCAAATTCTTGGTGGATGAATGGATCCTTAGCATTTGCTTATTATTACACTTAAACATATGTTATGTTCCCTTTTTTTGGTATTCATATTTGTTTTATTCAATAGCCTGTGGTTTTTTCCAAACTTTTTTTTGATTTTTTGTTTTTGTTTTTAGTTCTGGGGTACATGTGCAGGATGTACAGCTTTGTTACATAGGTAAACATGGGCCATAATGGTTTACTGCACCTATCAACCCATCACCTAGGTATTAAGCCCAGCATGCATTAACCATCCTTCCTAATACTCTGCCTCCCCTTAACCCCACCCCTCAACAGGCCCCAGTGTGTGTTGTTCCCATATGCCATGTTCTTATAGACAATTTTATATTCTTTGAAGGATTTTCTTTTTTTCATTTTTATTTTAAGTTCTGGGGTACATGTGTAGGCTGGGCAGGTTTGTTACATAGGTAAACATGTGCCATGCTGGTTTGCTGCACAGATCATCCCATCACCTAGATATTAAGCCCAGCATGCAATTTTTCCTATTTTTCCTACTATTTTTCCTACTGCTATTTTTCCTACTGCTCTCCGCCCCCTACCTCACCCCCCGACCTGCTCCAGTGTGTGTTGTTCCCCTCCCTGTGTCCATGTGTTCTCGTTGTTCAGCTCCCACTTGTTAAGTGAGAACATGTGGTGTTTGGTTTTCTGTTCCTGCATTAGTTTGCTGAGGATAATGGCTTCCAGCTTCATCCATGTGCAAAGGACATGATCTCGTTCCTTTTTAAGGCTGCCAACAAAGGATTTTCATTCTCACCAACCCAAACCTTTCAAAGTAAGAAGTGGACCTATTATAATGAGGATGTGAGGCTAAGAAACTTGGTGTCTTGAGAGAGTCACAAACCAGGGAAAGGAAGCTCCAGCGGGTGAACCCAGTTCTCCAGACTCTCAATCTAGTGCTCTCATCTATATCCAGGACACTGGCAGCTGGATAAGGTTTAATGTTCTCTTTCCATAAATATTTTAGTTACATTTAATCAGCATAATACATTATGTGTCAGTGACAATCTGGAAACTTAACTTTGATGCCTGAGAGAATTCCCCATTCGTTCCAACCTCTTTGCTTTTATTTGTAAAATTTTAATCCAAAATATCTATCTCTGTACATATACATACATAGATATACCTCTCTATATATCTGTGTGTGTATATTTATTATTATTGCACAGCATGGCTTGTTCCTTTGTCAGGATATGCTATGTCCATCTTCTTGTTTCTTGGCATCCTTTACTTCTACCTTTCTCTTTTTCTTTTTTTTTTTTTTGCCCAGGCTGGAGTGCAGTGGCGTGATCTCGGCTCACTGCAACCTCCGCCTCCCGGGCTCAAGCGATTGTCCTGCCTCAGCCTCCCAAGTAGTAGCTGGGATTACAGGCATGAGCCTCTATGCCCAGTTAATTTTTATACTTTTAGTAGAGACAGGGGTGCCACCATGTTGGCCAGGCTGGTCTCGAACTCCTGAGCTCAGGTGATCCGCCTGCCTCGGCCTCCCAAAGTGCTGGGATTACAGGTGTGAGCCACCATGCCTGGCCCCTACTGCCTTTCTTTACAAAGCATTCTTGTTACTTGATTTTTCCTTCCCAGCAGCAGCTTCAGTCCTGCTCCCACCCCCACCTCTCATTGTGGCCCATTGGTGAGGTAGGCAATGAAATCATTCTATCCGCCAACACCAGGAAGTGCAAAAATGGAATGTTGCATATAAACATCAACTTAAAAAAAATACACCCCTACCCTCTGCAAAGAGCTTTAATCATTCTCTTCAGGGGATTAAAACATTTCAAAGTAGCAAATGAAAACTAATTTAATCTCTCTATTTAAATATGTTTCATCAGCCTATACTTATTTTTTTAAAAAAAGATGACATTGCTGAAAGTGAGAAAAAAAAACAAATAAATTCAATTTGTATTAGCAATCAAAACTTCACATTTCAAAGCTGGGGTCAGGCCCTGTAATGGAAAAGGAGGGGGGATCTTTTCTGCACCAAGGAACCAAATCCACTGTCATTAAGTTTTACTTCTCTTTCTCTTTGGCAAAACCCCATCCTTCAACAAAAGGGATGGGGTTATCCATTTTCTCCTCCCATTTAAATTTCTGTGTAAGCCCAATTCACAATAGCAAAATCATGGAACCAACCCAAATGCCCATCAATCAACAAGTGGCTAAAGAAACTGTGGTATATATATATTTATATACACACACTACATATATAGACCATATATATATAATATATATATGATGGAATACTATGCAGCCATAAAAAGGAATGAATTAACAGCATTTGCAGTGACCTGGATGAGATTGGAGACTATTATTCTCAGTGAAGGAACTCAGCAATGGAAAACCAAACATCATATGTTCTCACTGATATGTGGGAGCTAAGCTCTGAGGACACAAAGGCATAAGAATGATACAATGGACTTTGGATACTTGAGGGGAAGAGTGGGAGGGGGTGAGGGATAAAAGACTACAAATATGGTGCAGTGTATACTGCTCGGGAGATGAGTGAACCAAAATCTCACAAATCACCACTAAAGAACGTACTTATGTAATCAAATACCACCTGTACCCCAATAACTTATGGAAAATATATATATAAATTAAATAATTAATTAATTAATTTCTGTGCAAGCCTAAGAGAATGATGCCCCAAATGACAATACTACTACTAATAAATAATAATCACTAATAATTATTGAGCGCTTACCACGCACCAACCACTTCTCTAAGTACTTGACATGTGATATAAGACTTAAAGAAAGGTGATTGGTACAAAAGTCATTTAGAGTACAACCTTAGCTATTGTTTCTACCACCCCCAGGCACCAGCAGCCAGGCTTTCTACTGGGGATGATACAGCCCCCTTGGGGGCACTTAGAAAGGTAAGGAGTGGGCATTTCCATTATTGCAGCGACTTAGAGGTTGCTCCCGGCATTTTGTGTCTGGGACCAAGGATTCTAAATGCTCTGTTATGTACAGGACAACCCCTCGCCTTGGAGACCAGTGCTGCCCTAAATGTAAATAGTGCCCCCTTTGTAAAATAATGTCATCAGCAACTCATCCCTGAGGCCCTCTGTGCCAGCTCTGATTCCAGCAGGAAGTGAGGAGGAATTGGGTGACTTGCCGGAAGAGGGACTGACATGGATTTGCATCAGAACATTTTTCTCACAGGATAAAACCCGGGGCATAAGGGAAAGAGGGAAGGGCAAGTAAGAGAGGGCTTAAGGAATTTTCTTTTTTATTTTAGAATGAGAAGTGAAAATGAGAGAAGAATATTCTAGAAAGTAGCTGTCATCATTGTAGGGCAATGTTTTCAAACTCTTTAGACCAAGACTCACAGTAAAAATTTATTTCTATGTAATAATCCAGTTTATACATACACTTAAACAAATGTATGACTGAAGCCAAAGTTTCACAAAACTACACTTGCCCTCAAGTAAGTCATGTTCTTTGTATTTTCTTATAAAGTGATGTTCTTTGATATTTTCTATTCTATGCTGACTTCTATCCCCTAGATAGGTAGGATTTTACAACTTACTAAATAGATTTCATGTCTATTTAGAAACAAAACTAGGAGAGTGTATTTTAAAGATTAGAAATGCGATAACACATTGTGTTGGTAAGCATATGAAGAAGTGAGCCATCTTGGATACTCTTAGTGAGAGTGAAAATTAATAAAATTCCATCAATAGGCTATTTGGCAGTACTTATATCAATATTTTAAATACACATCTCTTTGACTCAGCAATTCTATTTCCAGGAATTTCTCACAGATTTATTCAAACATATGCCCAAAGATGGATATAAAAGTATATTTATTGCAGCATTGTTTGTAGTGACATAAGAAGGGAAGCAATATAAATGTCCATCTAAAGGGGACTGGGTAAATGAATTATGGAACATCTTTATTATAGAATACTAAGCAACTGTGAAAATAAATGAGGCAAGTTTAAATGAACTGAATTGGAACAAGATCCAAAGTGTTTCATATAGTTGAAAAAGCAAAAGCCATATACTGATAATTCTTGAGACCAAATGGGAAGTACAGAGGGATTTATCATACTATCCTCTCTACTCCTGTGCATGTTTGAATTTTTCCATAATTAAAAAATTTAAAAGACAAGTGTCCAAAATATATGTTCAGTATGCTACCATTTGTATTTAAGCAGATTCACTTAAATAGGCAACAGGACACATACGAGACTGGAAGTAGACAGTGTCTCTAGCAAGAAAATTAGGGAACAGATGTGGGGGAAGGGTTTAACCTTGTATTCTTTCTACTCCTTTAATTTGCAACCACTTGTACCTTTCCTGTCTGTGTGTATATGCATAATTTAAAATAACATAGACACAAAACTGGCCTGCCAATCTCAACAAGGAGAAACACAATTTTATTTGAAATCAAAATAATCAAAATAATACCTGAAAGCAACAAACAAACACATTCACTGAAAATAATGTACTTCTAACTCTGACCCCTGCCCCAAGCCATACCACCACACTACCGTTGGGGGTATCCCAAGCATTCAAGTGAAACATGCAATTGTGTTCAATTATATTTTCTGCCAAACTGTTGTTTCTTTGAATGAAGATGGAACAAAGACTGGGCCACATGGGACCCCAGTTATAGCAGGGTAATTACTGGAAATGATTTAAAGTTTAACTTGTTTAAGTCCTCTACTTTAAGAATGACAGAATTGCCAGGCATGAGCCTAGCAACTGCAACACTTTAGGAGGCCAAGGCAGGTGGATCACATGAGCTCGGGAGTTCGAGTCTAACCTGGGCAACAAGGCAAAACCTCATTTCTACCAAAAACAAAAATTAGCCAGGCATGGTGGTGCACGCCTGTAGTCCCAGCTACTCAGGAGGCTGAGATGGGAAGATCACTTGAGCCAGGGAGGCAGAAGTTGTAGTGAGCCAAGATCTCGCCACTGCACTCCAGCATGAGTGACAGAGCCAAAACCTGTCTCAAAAAACAAAACAAAACAAACAAAAAAGAAAGAAAGAAACAAAAAGAAATTCTAAAATAAATAAATAAATAAATAAAAGAATGACAGAATTCTGAGACAGCCACTCCATTTCTCAGTGTCTGCCTGAGGGGAGGCTGGAACAAAGATGTTCATTACAACCTGGTCTGTAATAGGGAAAAACTGAAAATAGCCTAAACATTCAATAACAACAAAATGACTAAATAAGTCATGATACATCTGTATTATGGGATGCCATGAAGCTATTTAACAATATCAGAAATACATATGTATTAATGTGGAAAGAACTCCAAGACACAATGTTGGGTGAAGAAGGCAAGTTGTGATACAATCTGATAGTATCTGTACAGTCTTTGAAGAAATGCATTCACAAAACAATACTGTAAGTTAATATACAAATGCATACAAATCATCTGGAAATATATAAATCTATCATATGACAGGATACTTCAGGGACACCAGGGAGTTGTGGTCAAAGATGATGTTAGCCTTATTTGTAAATCTCATTTTTTATAAGAATGTATTTCTGTATTACTTGTGTGATCACAAATTATATCAGAATGTACCCTTCATTAAAGGGTTCAGAAAGAATAGCCTGACCCCAGTCCATATGGTCAGTGAACTTAACAGCTATTTTTAGAATCTAAAGTCTAGAATCTGCCTCCCAATCTAAGAGTTCTTTCCACTACCAATTAGTTCCTCATCTTAATTTTGAAATCAACAAAAATTATATTCTCCTACTCAAGAGAGAATAAGGCGGGACTTTCAGTCCCACCAGACACCAATGAGGAGATAAATGTTTTTATGCGCTAAACGTAACATGGTTAGATCTCTACAAGGTTAGCTAAGACAATTAACTTCAAAGCCTTCCAACTGACAGCAATACACAAATTAACTTCCACGTCAGCTTTAGAAAACTAATTTCATAACAGTGAAGAATTCAGTAGCGGGTTCTGGTCTTGTTATTTTAAAAAAGAGAGTTTACTTCAACGTGAGATGAAACTATTTTCTAGAGCAACTTCATAATTACACCACAAGAAAAACGTTTGCCTCTAAAACCAGCACCCAATGGAGATAAACTGGAAGGAAGAAAGAAGCCTCAAAGAGGCGTCAAGTTAAAATCTGCAAGAGAAACCCATGAGAGGGAAATGAAAAGATTGAAAGTCTCAGAAAGTTTATTATAGGTTATCATAACAGCTAACATTTATTTATTCAGTCAAAAAATATTGAATACTGACTGTGCCAGGCACTGTGCTAGGTACTAGGAATACAGTCATGAACAAGATACAGAAATCCTGTGGTCATGGGGCTAACACGAACACGAAGCTGGCATTAAACATAAGAATAACAGGAAACAATAATCTGGGAAGGTGAATAGGGTGTACTAGAGTAGGAAGGTTTTTTTGTTTTTCATATATGCTATTTCATTTTTTTGAGACGGGGTCTTGCTTTGTTACCCAGGCTGGAGTGCAGTGGAGCAATCATGGCTCACTGCAGCCGCAAATCCCTGGGCTCAAATGACCTTCCCTCCTTAGCCTCTTGAGTAGCTAGAATTACAGAAGTGTGTCACCATGCCCAGCTAACTTTTGTATTTTTGTAGAGATGGGGCCTTGCTAAGTTTCCCAGGCTGGACTCCAACTCCTGGCTTCAAGCAGTCCTCCCACTTCAGCCTCCCAGATGGCTGAGATTATAGGCATTAGCCACTGTATCCAGCCCTCTATTTTAAATATAGTGAGTGGTCAGGGAAAGTCTCAATGAGATGATGTTTGAGCAAACACCTGAAGGAGGCAAAAGAACAAGGCCAGCATAGCTCTAAGGGAAGTGTGTTTAAGGTGGAGGGAATGCAAGTGCAAAGGCCCTGAGGCAGAGACGTGCCTGGCATAGGTGTGAGGAGCAGCAAGAGGCCAACATGGCTGGAGCAGAGAGGACAAGGGGAGAATCCCAGAAGATGAGAGAGGAAGCCAAGAGCCAGGTGGTGTAGAGTGCAATAGGCCACTGTAATGACTTGGGCTTTTACTCCAAGATGGAAGCCATGGAAGAGTTTAGAGAGCAGGAGTGACATGAACTCACACACCACTGAATGTTCTGATGGGGAGCAAGGGGAGAGGAGGGGGAACCATTGAGGTCACTGCAATAATCCAAGGGAAAGATGGTTTATCATGCGGTTACCGTGAGTCAGGGGCTTTGCATACCATATCTTTTATTTCTATTTTTTAAATTGACACATAATTCACAAACCATAACATTCATCATTTTAGAGTGTACAATTCAATTGTTTTCAGTATATTTACAAGATTGTACAACCGTTACCACTGTCTAATTCCAGAGCATTGTATCATCCCCAAAAGAGACCCCATATCCATTAGCAGTGACTCCCCATTCTCCTCACAGCCCCTGGCAACCACTAATCTACTTTCTGTCTCTATGGATTTGCCTCTTCTGGAAATTTTATACAAATAAAATCATGTAACATGTGGCCTTTTGCAGCAGGTTTCTTTCACTTAGCATGATTTTTTTTAAGGTTCATCGTGATGTAGCACATATTCGTGCTTCAGTTCTTTTGATGGCTGAATAATATGCCCCATCTTCTTAAATTCCCACCAAAGTCCTGTGAGGATGATACTATTATTGTCATACCCAGTTTTCATATAAGGGAACTGTCACACAGAGAGGTCAAGTCACTTGCCCAAGGACAAACCAGAGAGGGGAAGGGCTGGGATTTGAATGTAGAAGTCTGACAGCAGTGCTAGCCCACTGGACTGTTTTGTTAACTGCCTTATTGAATAGTGGCATCACTAAAGCTCCTAGCCAGACCCTCACTGGACTGGGGAAACGGAGGCCCTGATTTCATACAGAGTCAGGCAGAGCTGTGTCTGAGACCCGAATGCCACGCCATGCAGTTCAGTGTAGGTTCCACGCCAGCATCCACTTGCTTCCCTGGCGGGCCCTTCTCATCCTGGGTGATGCCAGATAAGACGGGTGAGAGTGGATCTGCCAGAGGGTGAGATTGAGGAGGAGGACAATAAGGGGTAGGAGAGGATGCCAATAGCATTGCCCTCCCCACAGCTGACCTCAAAAACATCAGCTCAGCTCAACAAATATTATGCCTCTACTGTGGACTAGATATGGTGGTCAATAAGACATGGTCCCTGCCCTTAAAAAGTTCTCTGGGCCACTGGGAAAACCACTATCTTGATATTATATCAAAGAGGAAGCTGTGGGGCCCCTGTCTTTGCCATCTTTGCATGAGTGAGGAGCCTGGCACGGCACTGGGTACACAGCATTCTGCCAACAGACATTTCTGTGGAGCATCTACATCCTTGGGACGTCAACCATCCTCCTCAGCAATTTCTCATTAACCCTGTTTCACCTATAGCCCTCCTTGAAACGCGCCTTTGTGTGTGCTCTGGGGCCCCAGCCACACATGTTTGGGAAAGAGGTGGTCACCCCACTCACCTGGGTCCAGTCATATTTCTGCTGCTGGGGGTTTGAATTTTGGATATAAAGACTGAGCTATGCTGCTCCATAGGGAGGAGCAACAAATGCTCTCAGAGCTCCATGCAGACTCATCCCCTTGGATCCCTTTATCATCGTTGTGACACTGGCTGCCTCTCAGGATGACACAGAGAGCCTAACATGTCTGGGAGTTCCCTTAAACCATGACTGACAGGCGTAGGAATAAATACTCCAGCTCCCTCACCTCCTAATGAGGACAACACCCAGGCATGACTGTAGTATCTAGAGTGGCTTCTGCAGGTTTAAGCCAAGCTTGCCTTCCTTAGGATGGCTTGGTAACACCTCCTGCTTGGCCTCCTTTCCTTCCCTTGTGATCCCTTTTCTCTATTCCCCCTGCCAGTCTCCCATGGGAACACTCCTTAATCAATAATTTTCACGTTTCAGGGTCTACACCTGGGAACCAGCCTAAGACCAGGGGTTGAGGTGAGCTGGAGAGTCATGTAATAATCACTAGCCTTTCTTGAGTACTTCCTATGTACCAGGCAGTTATAAGCACTTCACACATATTTACTCATTTATCTCACAATATCCCTATGAGGCAGGTGCTATTACTGTTCTAAGTTCACAGATAAGGAAAATGAGGTATTTGGTGTTGCCATCCATACAACATGAGTATGGAACGAGTTCAACTTCACACAGCTAGGAAGTGGCAGTGCCGAAATGTGAACCCAGGCAATCTGAGTCCAACTTTGGGCTCTCATCTTCTAGATGATCTGCCTCTTGTGTAGGCTTGGGGAGCAAGAGCTGGCATTTGGGGGTGCCATGAAGGATCAAATACAAGCAGATTCATGGAGAGATGGCATCTATCTAAAGAGAATAAAATGAAGCAGAGAAGCACTGAGAGCATGTGTATGGGGAAGGGTCCATGGTGACAGTATGACTTCTGAGTTGCAATGAAGCCCAGCCATAGTTCCTGCCATTGAGTTCTAAAAGGTTTTCCTGGTTTCCTGCAACAACCTCTATTTTTATCTCAGCTAATATGAATGGGCCGCTGCTCCTTGGAGCTAAATCAATTTCCATAATTGCCCAATCAATGGGTACTAAGATGAGCGAGGTGTGGTTCCAGTCCTGCAAAGGCCTATGGTCCAGCCTCAGTGTGAAGATTTCAGTTATTTTTAAGCCAGTATTTATGGAAGGTTTATATGGAAAATTGCATGAAGCAGTACATTGAACATTTTACATGCATTGAGTCATTTCATTCCATGGAGTGGATGCTATAATTCACTCCATTTTACAGATAAGGAAATCAAGGCTCAGAAATGCTAAGGCCCTTATGCAAGACCACAATGTAATATGGAACAAATCCAGGACTTCAGCTCAGGTCTGATAGGCACTAAGGACCACAGTTTGGGCTTTCCTTCATTGCTTGTTCATGCTGTGTTCTGTGAGGTATAGTGGGGAACTGTGGGGTCTTTACTTAACCAAATCTACCCTTGTTGTGGGCAAAAATAACTCACAAGTCTCTTGTAACTTGTCAGAGCCAAAATTTAGGCAGCCTGCCTTTCTTCTGGAAAACTGGAATTTGGGCATAAAATAGCAATCTTACACACACACACACACACACACACACACACACACACACAATCACCATGACTGAAACATTGCACCTTCCTCCCCACCACTCCCATGATCAATATCTCTTGACTCCCCACATATATGCTCCCCACGACCAGCTGGGACCATGCAGACACGCAGCAGGAGTGTTTGATGAATGGAGAACTTTTAGTGAATACAGAGTCTTCAGGAAGAGGTGGCATTCCTCTCTCACACCAGCAGCTGAAAAATTTCTTTACAAGCAAAACAAAGTCCCTTTATGGCTCAGACAATTATACAGAAGCAGCTTGCTCCTAATAGTTTGAGGAACAAGTTAATATCAGTCAGACACCAACCAGGAAAATAGACATCACGTTAAGTATTTCAAACAGATGAAATTTAATGCAGGAAATTGGTTATGGGGGGATGAAAAAGCTCAGAAGCTAAGAGGGGATGGTGAGGTCACCCAGAGATTAGCTACAGCAAGAGGCCATAATTGTCTGGGTAGACAGAGGGAGAAGGAGGTAATGCCAGAGCCCAGGGGCCAGAGCCATAAGGTAAAAGCTGAAACTGTCGAGATATAGCCATTGCAAAAAAATAATAATAATAATAATAATACCTCAGGTAGAGAGAGGCAGGGAAGGTGGAGAGGGGTAGATGAAATAAATAAAAATATTTTACCCTAAAATATATTGCTTTGACATATTTTGAAATGGCTGCCACAGGGCCAGCAGACTAGAAAGGACCTGCAAAGCTGTCTTTTGTTGGGGAAATCTGTAAAGAATCTACATTAATCCAGATCTTCCCTAGTCAGGATCTAGGAAAGATTAACTGAGTCTTATACCTTCAAAGGTCTGAAAGAAACATTTACCACCTATTCCCTCTGAGGTTTGACACCTGTGAGGTTTTAGCTACATAACAAGACCACCTTTGCTAGTCAAGCCTCCTCTTCTCTCACTCCTATAACCTGTCTTTCCACTAAAACCTGACTTACTACCTTAACTCGTTTTTGGCCATTCTCTGAGCCTGCATTCTTTCTTAATCTCAAGTTGGTACATAAGCTCCTGTACCTCATTGAGGGGCTGGGTCTTCATTCTGAAGGCTCCTGAATTAAATAAATTTGTATGCCTTTTCTCCTGTTAATCTGCCTCATGCCAGTGATTTTTAGCAAACCTTCCAGGTTCTACATGGGGAAAGTAGTGAGAGGTAAGGAACCTGGAAATGTCCCAGGTTCTCTCTTCCTTTTGCCCTCAAATATCCTGCCAAGGTCTTCTACTGGCTGCCCTTAGGCAGAAGATGGAGAGCCTGGAAATGCTGCCTAAAGGGTTGTCCTCCCCCATGATAACAGGACAGGGGACGGACAGCAGTGGACCTGAGGGAACACAGCCCCAGACCACCACACACTTGCTTCATTCATTCATAAACCAAAAATAAAATCCGAAGCCCCTCAACCACCTGAGTGAACCCTTCTCGCAGCTAAGGGCATTCCAAAGTTAACCTGAAAAACTAGTTCAGGCCATGGTGGGAAGGGCAGGTTTGACATGCTTCATTATACCCTCCTCCCTCTTGAAATTCAGGCACAGCTGACCAACACAGACATTAAGACTAACAGAAAAGCTGATAAGAAACATTTACAATCTATTCTCTCTGAAGCCTACTACCTGGAAGCTTCATCTGCATAATAAAACTTGGGTCTCCACAATCCTATATCTTAACCCAGACATTTCTTTCTATTGATTCCAGGTCTTTAGATAATAACTTTCTCAACCAATTGTTGGAAAATCTTTGAATCCACCTATGACCTGGAAGCCCTCACTTCAAATTGTCCCACCTTTCTTGACCTAACCAATGTACATCTCACATGTATCGATTGATATCTTATGTCTCCCTAAAATGTATAAAGCCAAGTTGTAGCCCAAACACCTTGGGCACATGTTCTCAGGATCTCCTGAGGGCTGTGTCATGGGACATTGGTCACTCATATTTGGCTCAGAATAAATCTCTTCAAGTATTTTACAGAGTTTGACTCTTGTCATGGACACATTCATTCGGTGAGCATTTATTGAATGCACACCATGTCCTAGGCACTGTGCTAGATGCCCAGAGCCCAACACTAATAATACACAGCTCCTTCCTAG